>NC_000013.11:77347499-77499015 GCF_000001405.40 Homo sapiens
TGGGAGGCTGAGGTGGGAGGATCACTTGAGACCAGGAGTTCAAGCCTAGCCTGGGCAACATAGCAAGACCCCAACTCTACACAAAATACGAAACTAGCCAGGCGTGGTGGTGCACGCCTGTAGTCCCATTCACTCAGGAGGCTGAGGCAGGAGGATCACTTGAGCCCAGGAGGCAGAGGTTGCAGTGAGCTATGACTGTACCACTGCACTCCAGCCTAGGCAACAGAGTGAGACCTTGTCTCAAAATTTAAACAGCACTATCCCTATGTTTTAGATGAGGAAACTGAATGTTTCCTCATCTAAAGAAATGTGCCCAAGATCACAAAATTAAAATGTGGTTGAATGCTATATTTCTTCCTATTTTCATTTCCCATCATATTTTTAAATAGCGTTTAGAATAGAGTCTCTAAACCATGTATATATATGACCCTTTAAATAGAACTTGAGTGGATTTTTTTAAAAATAATTTGGACACACTAGCTAATCTGTGTCCCTCAATGTCTTCATCTCTAAAATAGAGGTTATAGTAGTACCTGTGTTTGTGCATGGGAACTCAGAGCAGTGCTCAACACATAGTAAGAGCTCAGTAAATGTAGACCATTACAATTACCAGGACCACTGATCTTTATAGTCCTTTGCTTGGTCCATAAATAACCCCACTTTTTTCAACGGGGCTTACTTTTCTGAATTGTAATTCCATTTTCTTTCCTTCAATTGATCCTCAGTTTCATATATTGAGGTAGATTTTTTTCAACCCACATTTCATCCTTTGTGTGTGTGTATTGTATGTGTATCTATGTATACCTAATTTGGGCTTGGGCTTTGTTTTTTATGAATTACTTGTTCAAGTTTTTTTTTTTTTTTTTTTTTTGAGATGGAGTCTTGCTCTGTTGCCCAGGCTGGAGTGCAGTAGTGTGATCTTGGCTCACTGCAACCTCTGCCTCCCAGGTTCAAGAACTTCGTCTTCCTCAGCCTCCCAAATAGCTGAGACTACTGGCACATGCCACCACGCCTGGCTAATTTTTGTATTTTTTTTTTTTTTAGTAGAGATGGGGTTTCACTGTGTTGGTCAGGCTAGTCCCAAATTCCGACCTCAAGTTATCCACCAGCCTCAGCCTCCCAAAGAGCTGGGATTACAGGCGTGAGCCACCCCGCCCTGCCCTGTTCAAATCTTTTGCTGTCTTTTATGGGGTTCCTGTGTCAGTCTGAGTCCTCTAGGAAGCAGATGCACCAAGATAGACATCTACAGAGACGTTGGTTAGGGGGAATGCCTGTGAAGGATAAATGTGATTGGGGTAGATAGGGAAAACCTCCAGGCCTTAATGCATGTTTGACACTTGTGAAAAGAGAGAAGGAAGAGTGTCAGGGTAAAAGTCTCTCACTGCAATGCAGCTCTGAGAAAGTCTCAGCTGGACCAATATGGAGTCCCAGAATAAAGAACACCTGTCAGAGTAATCTGGTATTGGGAGGGAATAGTCAGACCCTAGATGCTTGCCATGTTCAGTTGCTCTCTGGGAGCTGACCTGGAGAACCTGGCCTTGATATGAACACTACAGTGGATCCAGAGGTGTTGCAGCTATCTGCCAACTGCTCTTCCTTAGCAGTTTCTCTTGAAGGGAGATCTGGGTAATGCAATTCCATGGCCATCACAGTTGCCCATTGTTTTCTCATGGATACTAAGGAATCCTTAAATATTTTGAATATCAATCCTTTATTGGTTGCAATATTGCAAATATCTGTGGCTTGCCTGTTAACTTTGAGATGTCATTCACAAAAAGGGTATTTATTATTGGGTGAGTCTAAGTGTTTTTTGCCTCATAGGCTGTATATTATGTGAGATGTGGAATAGCCTAAAAGGAACTCTGCCTAAGATTTCTGCAAGACTTATTCATATGGCATTTGCTGCCAAGTTCCAATAGTACACATCTATACTGTACATCGAAATTTGGGCATCTCTGAGTTTTTGTCAAGTATCTGCTGCCTGATTGCATTATTTCTTAAGTCAGTCTGTTGTCCACACACATATTGAGCAATATGGTTCATTTGTAACAGAACAGGGACTTTTCCTGTTAACTGAAGGCTGGGATTGCTTAGAGACCACAGATCTGGTTCTGCAATGACTGGTGCCCATCATCCTTTCTCAGTCTCTATAAGAAGCCTGAAAGTCAAGAGAATGAGAAAGAGCTGGGAGTTGTCAGCCTAGTGGAAGTGGAGGGAGAGGGGAGGAAACCAGAGAATCTCTTCTAAACATTGGGAATAATTGACTAGAAAAAGGGACTGTCATTCTGTTTCCTGGAAGACATCTGTGTTAAGAGAAAATTCCTCATACCCACATTATTTCACACACCCACATGTCCTACAAGCAAAGCATGGACCACCTTTTCTGGTCTTTTCAAGGATGTTTGTCTAGCACACGGCCTTGAAAGTTAGAGATGGTGTATCCCTCCAGAGCAAAGGGCATGCATGCTTGCTATCTAGTATCATAAAGACACCTGCCTCTAAGCAAAAGTTAGGCTCCCCGAGTGCCTGTCTTAAAAGATTTGGGTTCCTGGCCGGGTGCAGTGGCTCACACCTGTAATCCCAGCACTTTGGGAGGCCAAGGTGGGCAGATCACCTGAGGTTAGGAGTTTGAGACTAGCCTGACCAACATGAAGAAATCCCACCTCTACTAAAAATACAGATTAGCCAGGCGTGGTGGTGCGTGCCTGTAATTCCAGCTACTTGGGAGGCTGAGGCAGGAGAATCGCTTGAACCCTGGAGGTGGAGGCTGTGGTGAGCTGAGATTGCCCCATTGCACTCCAGCCTGCCTGGGCAACAAGAGTGAAACTCTGTCTCAAAAAAAAAAAAAAAAAGATTTGGGTTCCCTAAGCTCAAAGTTTCTTGAAATGCAGCTCACTTCATGTGTAGGTGTCATCTGCACCTCTTCATGACTCCTTTTGGGAACTGGGGCTTGAGGAGCCAGCACAAAATTGATGATACTCTGGCTACTGCTCTTGCTGTGAATAAACCGTTTTTCTCTGACCTAGGAGTCTTGTGTTTCTTACCAGCATCCTTGGAGCTATGGCTTGCTAACTGCTTAGCTTGCAAGTAACTTTCAGAGTCTTCAAAGTTCATGACAATTTGCTTAGGCAGTCAACGTGATGCTCTTCCCTTGTGTTTATCTGAGCATAGGAAAAGGGAATCAGGGAAAGAAGGCTAGATGGAAAGAAGAAATTGAATGGACCAGCTTGTATAACCACAATTAGATGGAGTATACAAATCATCTATTACCACAATAATGTCCCATAACAAACAAAATGAAATTGTGGTGGCTACAACAGGCATTTATTGCACTCAAAAATCTGAGAGTTTCAGCTGATCTGGGTTGGGTTCACTCATTTTTCTGAGGGGTGATGGCTGTTGAGTGACTTAGGAATTTGTCAACTAGTATAGCTTTGGCATTTCAGATCTTGGATCAGTGGGTCAACACAAACATGGCCTTCTCATGGTGATGGCAGTGAGCAAGAGCATGCAAGCCCAATTGCATCAACACTTTCCAAGTTCCTGCTTGTGTCTTATTTGCTAATGACCCATTGGCCGAAGAAATCCCTCAACCCCAAAACAGCATCAATTAAAGAAAATAAAATCATCTTGGGACAAAGAAATCCAAAGGCAAGCCTAGACTTGAGGAAGAGGAAAGTAAACTTCATATCTTTACTGAAGGAGTCTGCAAGGTCATGTTAAAGGGTGTGGACATAAGGAAGGTAAAAGAACTGGAACTCTTAATGCAACCAATCTTCCAACAGGACAGGATATATGAGTTTCTGTGAGTCCAGTGAGAAGGAAGGAATAGAGCTGGATTTGAGCCATCTACTCGGAATACCACTTAGGATCACTTCCTGCCAGGAAAGGAGACTCCAATAGCTGGAGACTGTGGGTATCCCACAGATGGTGGGAGTATGTGAGTAAAAGGGACTTAAAGGGGTTGAACTGGAGCCAGGTCTCCCACAGTTTAGGGAACTGTGTGGTGGAGAAGTCCTTCACCATTGCCAAAGAACTCACGCAGGCACCACATGAGAGAGCCAGTGTTTTGGATGCCTGGGACAGTGGGTATTCATGACCAGTCCAATAACAAGAACTAATGTACAAAGAACTATCTTTCCACCTGGTCAATTTGCCTCAATCCCTCTTTCCTCGCTCCTGTCCCCATTGAACCTACACTTTGAAGAAGAAGGAAAAAGGGAACTGGGTGAGCAGACTATACCTCTCTTCACAATTTAGGGTCTTTGGCTACTGGTCAAACCTGTACTAGAGGGAGAGGAAGCTGAGAAAAAAGTGACTGCATCCTATGGAATCTGGAATCTGCCTAAGATGTTATTAACAAAGTGTGTTTGATTAAAGAAAACAAAACCATCTTATATTTATACCTCTCCTGAATTAGAACTCTTTAATAACCACGTACATGATAAAATACGCTAATTGTTTAATTTTAGTTGACCAGTCAGCATTTAAGGAATATGATGCTTATTTGTCCCCAATATTTAAACCCAAAAGTAAAGTCTATGGACAAATAAATTTTAAAAATAAAAGAATTCAAGGATCCATACTATATCTTTTATAGGAAACATCATTACCAATACATCAATAAAAGATGACTAAACCTTGTCATTTAAAAATCAGGCTTGTAGCCTTTTTATTATAAAATTAATATGTGCTCACTTGTAGACAACTTTGGCAATTCAGCATAAAAATCTTATCCGTAATACCACAACCCAGAAATAACATCTGTTAATATTTTGGTGAATTTTCCTTTAATAGTTCTTCTCTATGTGTGTGTATATTTCTGAAGGTATTTTAGATTATACTGTATATCCAACATTGTATCTTGCTTTTTGAACTCAAAATTTTTATATAATTAATAATTATTTGAGAAATTAATTTTAATGGCCATATAATAAGTAACATATGAAAGTACCATATTTTATTCAATGATTTCCCCCTTGTTGTTCAATTCCTTCTGTTCTTTCACCCTTATAAATAGTGTCAGGATGTATAACATTCTCCATAAAATTTTGACATGACTTCCAATTCTATTTCTGTTGGGCTAGAAATGGAAATTCTACATGAACAGGTTTTCTTTTCAAAGAAAGAAAACCTTAAAAAAGGAAGGAAAGAAAAATGCATTTGGCAAACTGAATCACCAAAATTGTCTGTAAGTGAGCACATATCAATTTTATGTCCACTGTAACTCCAAAGAACAATCATAGAAGCATCTGTGTCATAGCGTTCTGCTAGCATAAATATAAGCTGCCAAGGTTAAAGGCAAAATTAATGCATAATTTCTTTTGTCATTTTTTGTTTACTAGATGGATGTTTTAAATATGTATACAATATACACTTAATTGAAAAAACCCCAAATCTTGTCATTTATGACAACATGGGTGAACCTGGAGAACATTAAGTTACATAAGCCAGGCACAGAAAGACAAATACCACATGATCTAACTCATATATGGAATCTAAAAAAGTTGACCTCATAGAAGTAGAGAGTAGAATGGTGGTTACTAGATGCTGTAGGAGCTAGTGGGGAGGGGGGGCTGTGAGATATTGGTCAAAGAATATATTAATTACAGTTAGATAGGAGTAAGTTCAAGAGATCTATTGTATAGCATGAAGACTATAGTTAATGACCATATATTTCTGAGAAATGCAGAGTGGATGTTAAGTGTTCTTACCACACACAGACACACACACACACAAAGTGTGTGCATATACCTATTGTACTTTATCTTCTGGGAACTTTGTTTTTTGCTTTTCTAACTACCACTGGCAACTTAAAAGCTCATTATATTAAGATTTATCTTTCAGATTGATTAGTAATAATCAAATTATCTAATCTTATATTTATTGAGAGCTCAGAAACTCTAGTCTTATGAAAGTTGGTATAACTTACAAATTTATTTAGGCTATTGAGGTAGGTTAGCCTTGTAAATAAAAAGCATTAAGTTGGAGCCAGAGAAATCAGATTATCTTACCCTTCTTAGTCCCGTCATTTGTATTTGTACTTGACCTCTCTGAGCCCAAATTAACTTCAGTCATAAAATCAAGAGTTTGATCCTTGTCTTTTAGAATTTTTTGAGAATTAAATGAGATCATGCTTAAGGGAATCCAGCAGATAAAAGGTATACAACATTTTATCTTTCTTTAAAATCAAACCATGAGAGAGCAACTAGATACACAAGGGAAAACTGATTAATGTGAAAAGTATAATTACTTTATGCCTTAACAATTTCTTCCCATAATGTATTAGTTTTGTTTTTTTGTTTTTTGACACAGGGTCTTGCTGGAGTGCAGTGGCATGGTCCTAGCTCACTGTAACCTTGAATTCCTGGGATGATAGGTGTGCCACCATGCCAGACTAATTTTTTTGTATGTGTAGCGATGAAGTCTCACTATGTTGCCCAGGCTGTCTTGAACTCCTAGCCTCAAATGATCCTCCCACCTTGGCCTCCCAAAGCCCTGGGATTAAAGGCCAGAGCCACTGCTCCAAACCCAGCTTTTTTCTTTTCTTTCTGCTTCTCTTCTCTTCTTTTTTTCTTTTCTTTTTTAATGGCCACCATTATGTTTCCTGTCAATAGAGGTAAAAAATCTCAAGTTAATATATAAAAACTCTTACTCTATAAACCACTTCCTCTTCTTATTTCCTCTTTAATAGGACTCCAAGTTTTGACTCAAGTCTTTCTTTCCTTCCTTTTTTTTTCAATGCTTCTTGTTCTCAGTTATTCAATGTTCTACTCAGTTCATTTTATTTACTAACTAGAATTCTTTATCCTCAACTAAGTGCTACTTTTCTCATTAAACTCCAAGAATATCCGTCTCCTGACTGGCATACTTATATTCCGCTCAACTGGTCCTCAGAACAGAGAACTAAGTTTCATTTCTGTTTTGCAAAGAAATTACAGTAGCAATGAATTAACTGAATGAAGCAGGAGGACAGGGTCCCCAGGTGATGGTAGTCATCAGATATATTCTCCATTTCATATTAAAATCAATTTGTTTCTGTATAGAAAGAAACATTGTATCCAAAACAATGCTATTTTTAAAAAACTGACCCTAACTGAAATAACAGTATATATTTATTTACAAAAAGGTTAAAAATTGGATGAAGGATTTCCACTTCTGAAATTATGTTGGACTAAATATCTCTGAGAGGATCTTCCTTTACAGAATATTTAACTTATTGATACACATTGGAGGCATTGCTGGTTTTGCAAATGATAAAGGAATTCTCTAAGGATAACATAGAACATACAACAACATAAACACAAAAAAAAAAAGAAACTGCAGAGCTGGGGCTAGAGCTTTTTGTATATGCTTGAAAATGTCTATAACAAATTTTACAGATATCAAGATAGTTGGGGAGAAGTTAGAGGGTTAGGATGAGGAAGAGCATATATCCAGATTTAATGATATTGTTCATGTTCTGGATCTTAGATCAGATAATGGGTATAATTTTTCTAACTTACATATTTATCACATGTCTTATATACTAGTATTATGTATTTTTATTTTTATTTTATTTTTTTGAGACAGAGTCTCAGTCTGTTGCCCAGGCTGGATGCAGTGGTACACTCACAGCTCCCTGCAGCCTCGACCTCCTAGGCTCAAGTGATCCTCCTGCCTCAGCCTCCTGAGTGAATGGGACTACAGGCGTGCACCACCACGCCTGGCTAATTTTTTTTTATTTTTTGTAGAGATCGAGTATTTGCCATGTTGCACAGGCTGGTCTTGAAATCCTGGGCTCAAGGAGTCCACCCATCTCAGCCTCCCAAAGTGGTGGGATTACAGTGAGCCACTGTGCCTGGTCGTATTACTTATTCTTAAATTTAAAAAGTTTAAATGTATTTTTCAACTTTTTATTTTAAAATTTTAAATACAGAGAAAAGTTGAAAGAATGGTACAAAGAATATTCACGTACCTTCCACTAAGTTCAAAAATTAACATGCTGGCAAATATTTAAATATTTCTGTCTATATACATGCATAAAATAATTTTTATTCCGAAATATTTGAAAGTCATTTGCAGACATATGAAACTTCACTCCTAAATATACCACTATAAAGTTTCTAAGAATAAGAATACTTTACTTAATCACAATGCTATTATTATGCTCAAGAAACTTAACAATAATTTTATATTATTTTATATCCAGTCTGTAGTCAAATTCTCCCTCTTGTCTCCAAATTCCTTTTACAGATGTATATTTGAATGTATGGAATTTGATTATTGAGTTTGATCGCCCCTCTTTCTCTTTTAATCTAGAACAATCCTCGACTGGCTGGGCGTGGTGGCTTATGCCTGTAATCCCAGTGCTTTGGAAGGCCGAGGTGGGAGAGTCAACTGAGCCCAGGAGTTCGAGGCTGCAGTGAGCTGTGATCACGCCACTGCACTCCAGCCTGGAGAGCAGAATGAGACCCTGTCTCTAGAAAAACAAAAAAGGAAGGAAAAAAAGAAAAATTCTCTACCCAAATATTTTTTCATGACGTTGACTATTTGAAGAGGCTGAGCCAGTTTTCCTATATAATATGTCCCATATCCTGACTGTTTCCCATGGTGTTGTTCAACCTGTTTGTCTATCCCCTTTATTTTGTGTATTTAGGTCTAGACTTGATTAAATTCAGGTTTAACCTATTTGTCAAGAATGTTTAATTTTGTTCTCAAGATAGGTAATATTGTGACTTCATATGTTATCAGGTGACACACGTCAGGTTGTCCTATTACTGGTGATACTAAGTTTGGATGGCAACTACCAGATCACCAGGTTGCAAAGGTACATTTTACTCTTTGGAATTAATAAATAATCTCAGAGGTGATCCTAGGGCACTGCAGGAATATCCTGTTCTCCCAACAGTATGTTCCACACTATGGTTTCAGCAAACATTTACTAGGTGTTACAAAATCATGATTTTCTAATCCTGTCGTACCAAATAGAGATTTTTCAGTACTTTTTTGTTTTTAAAAGTATTACAGTAGAGTGCTAGAGCTTTAACACATGAGTTAAACTCAGTGTGGTTTTTATTTATTAGTATTATTATATAGTTAAGTTGACATAGAAACTTTATTTTTTAAATATAGCACTATGGACTGAATTGTTTCCTTCTCAAATTCATATGTTGAAGCCCTAACCTCCAATGCCATGATATTTGGAGATGGGGCCTTTGGGAGAGAATCAGGTTTAGGTGAGGTCATGAGGGTGGGACCCTCATGATGAGATTAGTGCACTTAAAAGAAGAGATACCAGAGAGCCCTCTCTCTCTCCCTGTGCCCCTCTCTCTGAATGTGAGGCTACAGCTCAAAGGTGGCCATTTGAAAGCCAGGAAGAGGGTCCTCACTAGAACCTGACCATGCTGGCAACCTCACCTTTAGCTTCCAGAACTGTCAGAAAATAAGTTTATGTTGTTGAAAGCCACCCGGACTGTGTTATTTTGTATGGCAGCCCAAGCTGTCTAACCCACAGAGTTTTCTAAGTATTATCAAACCCATTGTCCCACCTCCACTCCTAACACATTTCTCACAAATTGCCAGACATTTTCTTAGGAAATATGACCCTCCACTATGAATTACATATGCTGAAAAACATCGAGCAGCGTATTTATTGCTATTTCTGTGCATCATTGCAGTGCAGACAAATGTGATACTAAGCAAAGGTTCTCATGGTTGCCTTGCCCATGGAGTCCAATAGGACTAACTTTTCACTATTATTAATAATGCACATCATTGAATCTAGGTCTTTCTCCAAGCTTTTTATGCCTTAGGATAAACTCTAAAGATCGAAAAACCTGGTCACAGTTATAAGCCTTTTAAAGACTTACGATCTGAATCTCTAGTTTGCTTTCCATAAATATCGTGCTAAGTTCTACTTATACTAGCTGTTTGCAACTGTTCATTTAAATACCACAATCCTCAATACTAATCATTAGAATTTAAAATATTTTATAAATATAATGGGAAAACATTTAATTTGTAATTTCTTTGATAACATATTTTTTCATTTTAATTAGACATTTGTATTTTTCTTTAACTTGTTTTGTCATAGCATTGTCAATTTTTCTATAACAGTTTCAACATTTTCTTAATGATGAATGTTGAATGACTACCAACCAGGTTATATTTTATTGCAAATTAGTTTTTACACTTTGACTTTTGAAGAAAGCTGTTTTATTAGATACCGTGTTCCTACCAGTGTTAAAGGGACACTAGGAAATGTGGGAAGAAAGTGTTTCCTTGTATCTTGTTTCCAGAAAGCTTATTTAACACATACCCATGAGAATCAGGTAGGCTAAGTGTGTTTTAAGTCAATGCCATTTCTAAGAGGATATTTGATTTTAATAAATATTTTAGTAATGAATCTAAATGTACTTATTAAGTGCCCAAAGCATAGCAATACTCAGAGAGCAAGTTTTAAAACTATTCTTCCTTTGCTATTCAGCTTCTTCATCAAGGTTTACTTATGGTATTTTTTATATGGTCATGCTATCAATTACCAGAGATGCAAATACATGGTCATACTGTAGAAATTTTAAAATTAAAACTTGTCTATGCCTATTTTGAATTAGAATTTATGAAATTGAAAGATTAGCTAAATGCATTTGCTGCCTTTTGCAAGCTTTGCTAACTTGAAACCTCCCTTCTCCTTATACACTTCCTCAAAGGTGAGATAAGAAAATCACTAATGCTCGGCCTTGGTTACCAACTGTGCTAGATGATATTTCTGCACACTATAGCCAAATGGCAGCCTCTTTCTATTGTCTGTAGTGAATCCATCTTCTGGTCATTCAGCCAAGGTGCAGCCTCACTTTGAGGAGCAAACATAGCTCTAAGGGCTGACACATCTGTATCACAGTTTTTGCTACCAATAACATAGCCTGATACATTATCATTACAGTGGCATGACTTGGAGAAATATAGGATTTTGCTTTGGTATTTGTCAGTTACACTTTATATTTTATTTTTTATTTTTATTTTTATTTTTTGGGGACAGAATCTCACTCTGTTGCCCAGGCTGGAGTGCAGTGGCTCAATGTCAGCTCACTGCAACTTCCACCTCCTGGGTTCAAGCGATTCTCCTGCCTCAGCCACCTGGGTGGCTGGGATTACAGGCACGAGCCACCACGTCTGGCTAATTTGTATATTTTAGTAGAGACAGGGTTTCACCATATTGGCCAGGCTGGTCTTGAACTCCTGGCCTCAAGTGATCCTCCTGCCTCAGCCTCCCAAAGTGCTGGGATTATAGGTGTGAGCCACCTCGCCTGGCAGTTACACCTTATTTTGCAGTTATTTTTGTATTTGGCTAATTCTACTCACCATCCTTCCAACACTGTAACTCTCAGAGGGCAGAGATGTGTCTCACTTATTACTCTATTCCTGCAGAGAGTTCATGTGAATATTTGTTTTAGGAAATTGAGTTAAATCATCCTGTTTTTAGTTTGAGTTATTTGAAAATAACTAATAACTCCATATTGATTTTAAAAAACTAACTCTATAATGATGTGGAAATATAGATCCATGTTTTACAGTCCTTAGATTTCTTCTAATGTCTGGTTTAAATTCTCTCTGCTGTAATTTCTATCTGCCACATGGGACTGAGGATAATTGTTTTGTATCATTTGTACACAAACCTTTTTAATACTCAAAAACAAGACTTAATCCTTCTTAAACCTTCTTTATTTCAGTTCATATAAATTCACTTCCTTTACTCACTCCTTACTACCAAATTTTAAATTATATCTGTCCTTTTATGATGAACCTCCTCCAGGTTCCTATGCAAAACTTTATGAACGTTCTGACTAATGCATAGTTGTTTGCACAGTGGTAAGTCATTTGCATACTTGTGGAATCCAGAGATCAACAGAATCATGAAAACAAGAGCAAACTTTGGACGTGAAAGAAATCATTAAAGGCCAAATCATTTCCCACGTCACCCCTCTAGGTAGAAAATTGGGTAATAGAGGGTTTGTTTAATATGATGCCTTTTTGTTAGTCATCTTGTGAACCTAATAGAGGAACTATTTCTGTTCTTCTAGTGTATTGAGATAAGTAGCAAGAAAGTGCCAATTCAAATTTTGTGAAATAAATGAAATTTTCTACCAGATTATGTTTTGAAGGACAGATTCAGTCAACAAGCTCTGTTTAACATATATGAAGATAATGAAATTGATTCACTGAACCATGCAGTTAGAATGTGGTTTTAATACCGTCAGTGATCCAAATATATGTTTACCCTGGGATTATAGCATGAACACTCAAAATCTCTGTGCCCTAATCAGTGGTGTGTGACCAAACTACAGCAAAACCATTGATTTAAACTATACTTTAAAAGTTTGGTGTGATACCAAACTACAGCAAAACCATTGATTTAAACTATAGTTTAGAAGTTTGGTGTGATACCAAACTACAGCAAAACCATTGATTTGGCCACTAAAATAGACAAAAAGGTATCCATGGCCTCATTAGTTCCAAGCTCTAATAAACTACCCAGAAATAACTGACAAAAGGCAAAATCTTCCATATGACCTTCCAATATTTTCTCTCTGGCATGGCAAAAGAGAATACAAACTTCTTTTGAGCCTGTTGATTTGGGGATTTGACTTTATTGTGAAGCAGCAACCCTATTTTTTGTTAGTGCCAGTCATTCTAGCTAAGTTTACCCAGGGGACGTGAAGAGCCCCGAATCACTGGTGGTAATTGAGTCAAACTGTATTAGTAACCACAATGTGAGCCTGCAGTGAACAGAAAATTCCACTCACAGTGGCTTACTTATGTAGAGATTGAGGTGTCTCACACAAAAAGGTATCCACAGTAGGTGAGGAATTGGTGTAACAGCTCAGCATTTTCCTTTGTATTTGTCTACTATTCTTACATTATTTTTATTCCCATGCTCATGTTTGCCTTATTGTCACTTGATGGTGGCTACACTGTAAGCCCTGTAGTCACATACCATTCGTGATGAAGAAACAGGAAGAAGGAAGAAGAAGCACCAGAAGTCATCTGCATTTTCTTCTCCTTTTCCTTTTCTTCTTCATACATACACAAAAGCAGGAATATTGATATTGTAAATCCCCAGATTCAACTACTATCAGCATTTTGCCAATCTAGTTTCATCAGTTCCCTTCTGGCTTTAACAAGTATATAATAAAGCAAATCCCAGACGTCATATCATTTCATCCATAAATATTTTAGAATGGATCTCTAACATTTTAAGATAACAATAATATCACTATATCACATAAAATCAACAATAATTTCTTTCTTTCTTCTTTCTTTCTTTCTTTCTTTCTTTCTTTCTTTCTTTCTTTCTATCTCTCTCTTTTTTTTTTTTTTGAGACTTGCTTTGTCACTAGACTGGAGTGCAGTGGCACCATCTTGGCTTAGGCTCACTGCAACCTCCGCCTCTTGGGTTCAGGTGATTCCTCTGCCTCAGCCTCCCAAGTAGCTGGGACTACAGGCACATGCCACCACGCCTGGCTAATTTTTTTTTTTTTGTGGATTTTAGTAGAGATGGGGTTTCACCATGTTGGCCAGGATGGTCTCGATATCCTGACCTCGTGATCCGCCTGCCTCAGCCTCCCAAAGTGCTAGGATTACGGGCGTGGGCCACCATGCCAGGCCTAAAGTCAACAATAATTTCTTAATGTCACCTTGTACCTAGAACATAATCAAATCCTCCTAATTTTCTCAAGTGTTTGGATCAGGAGCCAAACAATGTTGGTTGCTAAGTCTCTTGTAATTTATTGTGATATAGATCCCTCTTATTTTTATGTCATTTACTTGTTCAAAATTTTTTTTTTAAAAGAATTTCCCACATCCTGGAAGTGGCTTTATGTTTTATTTTACACATTCCTGTAGGGACTTGGCTAAATATGTGAATAAATACAGTCTCATTTTTGGGGTGAAAAGTATTTCAGAGATGGTGATGATCCTATTGTCTTACATCAGGAGGCTCATACTGGCCGATGGTCTCATTTTTCCAATGCCAGGACTGATCAGTGAGTTCATGTGTGATCAGCCTGATCCATCCACTGTAAATCCCCCACCCATATTTCATCTAACAGTTTTGACACTTATTCTTTTATTTTATTTTCTCTTCTTCTCCTTCTCCTTCTCCTTCTTCTGAGACAGGGTCTCACTCCATCACTCAGGCTGGAGTACAGTGGCAGGATAATAGCTCACTGCAACCTTGAACTCAGGGGCTCAAGCAATTCTCCTATCTCAGCCTCCCGAGTAGATGGGACTACAGGCCCACGCCACCATGCGTGGCTAATTTAAAAACATGTTTTTTTTATTTGTTTGTTTGTTTTTTGATAGAGATGGGGGTCTATGTTGTCCAGGCTGATCTCGAACTCCTGGACTCGAATGATCCTCCTGCCTCAGGCTCCCAAAAGTCTGGAATTACATGCATAAGCCACTGTGTCTGGCCAATTTTGGCACTTATTAATAATCAAGTCTTAGGTCTCTTTTGCCATTTTGGAATTGAAATGTGATGATTTTCTAATTCTTTCATTCTTTCTGTATTTATTAACAGAAACTCTTCTATGAAGAGAGCTCTTTATCAATCATTTGTTTACCAGAAAAATAAAATACATACAAGAAAGACAGAATAAATGTTTTATGTGTCCCTTTATCTATTTTTTATGGTAATAAGTTATGTCCTAGCCACTTCTACTGATAAGCCATGGGATGATTTTCTTCTAGCATTATCATTGACGATTTCATTTGTATATATATGTTGTGTTTTTAGTAATTTGAGTCATTCTTTTTGATCCCAAATGATGTAATCTTTGGACAATGAGAGACCATTCAAGTTGGCTCCTGTGACCTTCTGGCATCCCATTAGCCTTTGACAGATTCCTTGCCTCCTGATACAAGGAAGGACATTCATTTTTTACATTTCTTTACTCAGCTCTACTATTGGTCATTGTTCCAAGGTGCCCTTGTTCATTTTAGTGGGTACTAGGGTGCTCATTGCTACTGGGCTTGTCATTGTTCCTGGGTCTTTTCAGTGGATAGAATTAGGAATGTGTACTTTTTTTTTCCAAGAAAAAATACATCATGAATTCTAACATACAGTTGTCTTGATAAATTTCCATCTGTCCTTTTGAAAAAGGCTAATAGATTTGAGATGTGTACTTTTCATGTTGTACTAATTAGAATTAACTTTGCTTCATAGAAGAGATATACTTGTAATATTCGCCCAAACAAGATCAAAGCTTTTATTGCCCATATAAATGCAATCTCATGATGCACTGTTCAAGAGCTCATTCGGCAGCTCTGTGTTATCATCAGTGACCCAGGCTCCCATCTTTCTTGCCATCTTAACATCTCAGCTTCAGTTAGCATGGGCCACCATTCAATCTATGCATTAGTCAACCAATTAAACCAAAAACCAGAAGACTCCAAGCTGTCTAAGTTTTCACAAGGAATCCAGAATAACTGGTAAGCACACCCATATCCACAAATTCAGCTTGACTAAGTTTGAGTCCTTTTTTCCTTGGCATCACATACTCAAAACCTGTTTACATCTATATTCTCCAGATTTTTGCCAACCATATTGATGTGTACTCTGTATCTTTTCAGGTATGACTTTTAAATTGCTCCTCTGAGGAATCCTGGGATCTGACTCTAGGTATAGGTCTAGAGATAATGTGACAATAATGTGAGGGCATGAGGAAGAATTGCATTTCTCTTTCAGGGTAACTCCTTTATACAGGAATGCTATAAGGTCTTACAGCAAGGCAGGAACCATGTCATCAGACAGGAGAGGTAGGGGGGCTTCAACTGACAATTAGGAGGTTTAATGGAGGCTTTCAGGTTTGGTGCTGTCTGAGGCCTCTGAATTCTCCCATGTGTCTTTCTTCTAATTCTTGAAGTTCTGCTCTTTCCCACTAAATACCCAACCTTTCACATAGGAGACCTGACAGAAACAACAGAGTGTAATTTTGAGCTTGTTGTTCTCTGTTTGATATATCCGTGATTGTTAAAATTAACCATCTGATTAACCCACAGTCTGTAATTTTCCTCATGCCCTTCATACTGTTCTATGGCAAGTCCCAAAGCTTTTTTTTTCTTTTTAAATTTTCTTTTATTTTTTTCCATAACCCCAAAGCTTTTAATGGACTCTTTTAATTAGCTACTTTGCCATCTGCCATGGACTTCTAAGAGTCCCATGTCTTAATGTTGAACGTGCTTCCATTATATTCAGCCACAGCCAGGCAAGAATCCTGTATTCTCCCCGACCTTCTTTTTCCTGAAGGATTGTTGATGCGACCTCCACAAACTAATTTCAGAATTAGTCAAGGTTCTCAGTTGCAAGTAACAGAAATAGCTTTTAGCTGATACAAGCAGAAAAGAAGTATACTGAAAGGATATTGAAAAGAATCATATAGGGGGCTAGAGAGGTAGGCTCAGAAAATGGGCATAAAAAAGAAGAAACTCAGCAAGGAAAATGGCTAAAATCCTATGCAAAACTGATTTGGGTAGGACATTGTTACCACTTTCACCACACCCTGAGCACAACAACTAGCAACTGTAATGCCACTGGCACCACCAGCATGTTTGCAGTTGCTGCTGCTGCTGGCACTGCTACCACCATGGCCCTTGAATACTGCGTGCTGCTGTAGTACTGAATACTGATACCACTGTAGCTCTTGAATACTGGATACTACTGCAGTACTGAATACTGATATCACCATGGCCCTCGAATACCGGATGCTACTGCAGTACTGTGTACTGATACCACCGTGGCCCTAGAACACAGGATGCTACTGCAGTACTGAATGAATACTGATTCCACTGTGGCACTCGAATACTGGATGCTACTGCAGTACTGAATACTGATACCACTGTGGTCCTTTGCTCTGCCCTCCCACTGATGAATCCAAGCCTCCTTAGCTCTTTATGTCACTAGCTCCAGATTCACCATCTTTAAGAGGCTTTTTTTTTTTTTTGACTGAGTCTTGCTCCGTCACTCAGGCTGGAGTGCAATGGGGACACCTCGGCTCACTGCAACTTCCGACTCCCAGGTTCAAGCGATTCTCCAGCCTCAACCTCCCAAGTAGCTGGGATTACAGGTGCACACCACCACGCCCAGCTAATTTTTGTATCATTAGTAGAGACAGGGTTTCTCCATGTTGCCCAGGCTGGTCTCGAACTCCTGACCTCAGGTGATCCATCTGCCTCGGCCTCCCAAAGTGCTAGGATTATAGGCATAAGCCACCATGCCCGGCCCTAAAAGGCTAATTCTAATGACTGGCTAAGCCTTGATAATGCACTGATGACCTAACTATCACAATTCCTGGAAAGCAAGTGTCTGTCCTTTACTTCTTTAGAGGGAGGTAGGCTCTGCCATCTATAAAGACTCAAAAGGTAGGGAAGTGCCCCAAACATTAATAGGGAGTTTCAGATAAATATCTACTATGAGTTGGGAAATGCTATGTATGTTCTGAGGTTGGAAATTATGAAGAAAAGGTGGAAAAAACTCTGGATTGGAAGCTGGGTCCAGAACAAGGGAAGCCCTGGCAATCAAAGAAAGGCAGTTAGATTTTATATGATAGACAGAAAAAGTCACTGGAAATTGCAAAGGAAATTTGTGCAAAGGAATAAAAGGGGGGTTTAGGAATATTAATCTGCAACAGTTAGTGTAGAAGCACATTTGGAGAAAGGAGATTTTAGAGGCAGAGAAACCAAAGAACATTTCAGAGAACTCGCTAAATAGAAGGTGACATGTGCCTGAACTTAGATATTGTCTGCAGCAATGAAGGTGAAAAAATAGGAGAGTATTGTAGAGATTAAATTCTAGAGCTCCCTAACAGAACCCATGTCTCACCAAAGTATTACCATATTCAATTTTCTTGCTGATAAAAGTACCATGATCTCATTTAGAAATGTTCTATTCCCAAGTGAATTCAGTGGCTGCCAAGGGCAGCAGCTCTCAGAATATGGACATTTGGGGTTTCTGAGACCCTTGTAGTGGTTCTGCAAGGTTAAAACTATCTTCACGGTAATACTAAAGTGTTATTTGCCTTTTTCCACTGTGTTGAAATTTATACTGATGATGCTAAAGCACTAGTGGCTAAAACTGCTCCTTAGCATGACTCAAGGCAGTGGTACTAAACTGTGGTAGGCACTGATCATTGTATTCTTTTTTTTTTTTTTTTTTTTTTTTTTTTGAGACGGAGTCTCGCTCTGTCGCCCAGGCCGGACTGCGGACTGCAGTGGCGCAATCTCGGCTCACTGCAAGCTCCGCTTCCCGGGTTCACGCCATTCTCCTGCCTCAGCCTCCCGAGTAGCTGGGACTACAGGCGCCCGCCACCGCACCCGGCTAATTTTTTGTATTTTTAGTAGAGACGGGGTTTCACCTTGTTAGCCAGGATGGTCTCGATCTCCTGACCTCGTGATCCACCCGCCTCGGCCTCCCAAAGTGCTGGGATTACAGGCGTGAGCCACCGCGCCCGGCCGATCTTTGTATTCTTTACCCATACACTTGTAGCACAAAGAAAAAGAAAGAAAAAATGGGCTGGGCGCAGTGGCTCACTGGTAAACCTAGCACTTTCGGAGGCCAAGGCAGGCAGATCACAAGGTCAAGAGATTGAGACCATACTGGCCAACATGGTGAAACCCTGTGTCTACTAAAAATACAAAAATTAGCTGGGAGTGCAGGCATGCACCTGTTGTCCCAGCTACCTAGGAGGCTGAGGCAGGAGAATAGTTTGAACCCAGGAGGCAGAGGTTGCAGTGAGCCATGATCACACCACTGCACTCCAGCCTGGCGACAGAGCAAGACTCCATCTCAAAAAAAAAAAAAAAAAAAAAAAATGACGCCAGTTTTACTTAAGAATATCATTGATGACACTGATGATGCAGTAATAGGTATTAATTTTATTAAATCTTGATCCTTGAGTACACAGCTGTTTACGAATCTATTTGATAAAATGGGAAGTGTGTGTGTGTGTGTGTGTCTGTGTGTGTGCATGTACAAAAACCATGTCGTCAGACAGGAGAGGTAGGGATGTTTCAACTGACAGCAAGGAGATATAGTGGAGGCTTCCAGGTTTGGAGCTGTCTGAGACCTTCGAATTCTCCCACATGTCTTCCTTCTAATTCTTGAAGTTCTGCTCTTTCCACTAAATGGCCTACCTTTCACACAGGAGACCTGACAGAGACAATAAAGTGTAATTTTGATCTTGACATTCTTTGTTTAAGGCATCCAAGATTGTTAAAATTAACCATCTGTTTAACCCACAGTTTTTGATTTACTCATATCCTTCATACTCTTCTATGGCAGTCTCCCAAAGCTTTTAATGGACTCTTTTAATTAGCTATTTTGCCATCTACCATGGACTTCTAAGAGTCCTATGTCTTAATATTGGACGTATTTTCATTATGTTCAGCCATAGCCAGCCAAGAATCCTGGATTCTCAAGGATTCACACACACACACAAACACACACATGTGCACATCCACACACACACACATATTGAGATAGGGTCTCTCTCTGTCACCCAGGCTGGAGTGCAGTGGTGCAATCATGGCTCACTGCAGCCTTGACTTCCCAGGCTCCAGTGATCCTCCCACCTCAGCCTCCTGAGTAGCTGGGAACACAGGTGTGCGTCATCATGCCTAGCTAATTTTTGTATTTTTGGTAGAGACAGGGTTTCACCATGTTTCCCTGGCTGGTCTCGAGCTCCTGAGCTCAAGCAATTTACCCACCTTGGCCTCCCAAAGTGCTGGGTTTACAGGCCTGAGCCATCACACCCAGCTGAGAAGTATATATAAACACTTCGGCTGCATATCAAAATATATAGAGATATTTTGAGGAAAACAGTTGTGTCATTGTTTAAATTGCAAACTGTATTAGCCTCCTCCATGCATTGGAACATGATTTTTTTTTCTGGAAAGTATGACTGACAGACATGTAGATTAAACAACTTGCTCCTGAATGACTTTTGGGTACATGAAATTAAGGCAGAAATAGAAAAATTATTTCACAGAAATAAAAAACAGAGAAACAACAAAACAAAATCTCTGGGATGCAGCAAAAGCAATGTTAACAGGAAAGTTTATAGAGCTGAACGCATACCTCAAAAGGTTAGATTTCAAATTAATGGCATAACATCACAGCTAGAGGAACTAGAAAAACAAGACAAACTAACCTCAAATCTAGTAGAAGAAAAGAAATAACTAAAATCAGAGCAGAACTGAACAGAATTGAGACCCAAAAATCCATACAAAGGATGAACAAAACCAAAATTGGTTCTTTCAAAGGATAGACAAGATCAATAGGTGACAGCTAGATTAAAGGCAAAAAGAGAGAAAATCCAAACAAGCACAATCTGAAACAATAAAGGTGACGTTACAACCAATTCTCTAGAAATACAAAAGATCCTCAGAGACTATTAATGTCACCTCTACTCACACAAACTAGAAGATATGGAGGAAATGGATAAGTTCCTGGAAACACACAACCTCCCATCATTGAATCTGGAAGAAAATGAACCTGAACAGATCAGTGTTATGTTCCAAAATTGAATCAGTAGTAAAAACCCTACCAACCAAAAAAAAAAAAAAAAAAAAAAAAGCCCTGGACCAGATGGATTCACAGCCAAATTTTACTAGATGTACAAAGAAGAGCTGGTACCAATCCCACTGAAATTATTTCAAAAAATTGAGGAGAAGGGATTCCTCCCTAACTCCTTCTACAAAGCCAGCATCACTCTGACACCAACACCTGGCAAAGACACAACAAAAAAAAGAAAAGTACAGGCTAATATCCCCGATGAACATAGACACAGAATTCCCCAGCAGAATACTAGCAAACTGAGTCAAACAGCATATCGAAAAGTTAATGCACCATGATCAAGCAGGCTTCATTCCTAGGATGCAAGGTTGGTTCAACATATGCAAACCAATAAATGTGATTCACCACATAAACAAAATGAAAAACAAAAAGCATATGATCATATCAATAGACGCAGGAAAAGCCTTCAATAAAATTCAATATCCCTCATGACAAAAACCCTCAACAAACTAGGCATGAAGGAACATACCTCCAAATAATGAGTTATCTATGACAAAGCCACAGGCAATCACATACTCAATGGGCAAAAGCTGGAACCATTCCCCTTGAGAAATGGAAAAAGACAAGGATGCCCATTCTTATCACTTTTATTCGCATAGTACTACAAGTCCTAGCCAGAGCAATTAGACAAGAATAAGAAATAAAAGGCAACCAAATAGGAAAAGAAGAAGTCAAACTATCTCTCTTTGCTGACAATATGATACTATACCTAGAAAATTCAAAAGTCTCTGCCAAAAGGTTCCTGGAACTGATCATCAACTTTAGTAAAGTTTCAGGATACATAATCAATGTACAAAAGTCAATAGCATTTCTATACACTAATAATGTTGAAGCTGAAAGCCAAATCAAGAATACAATCTCATTTGCAATAGCTGCAAAAAGAGTAAAATACCTAGGAATACATCTAACCAATGAGATGAAAGATCTCTATAAGGAGAATTACAAAATATAGCTGAAAGAAATAGCTGAAAGAAATTACAAAAAATAGCTGAAAGAAACAAAAGGAAAATATTCCATGCTCATGGACTGGAAGAATCAATATTGTTGAAAGGCCATACTGCCCAAAACAATCTATAGATTCAACACCCTTCCTATCAAACTACCAA
The DNA here is from genome assembly GCF_000001405.40 of Homo sapiens. Classification (NCBI taxonomy): domain Eukaryota; kingdom Metazoa; phylum Chordata; class Mammalia; order Primates; family Hominidae; genus Homo; species Homo sapiens. The sequence continues at coordinate 77,369,217 of NC_000013.11, forward strand.
TGCCATTTTTCACAGAATTAGAAAAAACTATTCTTAAATACATATGAAACCAAAAAAGAGCCTGAATAGCCAAAGCAATCCTATGCAAAAAGAACTAAGCTGGAAGCATCACATGACCCAACTTCAAACTATACTATAAAAGACTACAGTAACCAAAACAGCATGGGTACTGGTACAAAAACAGACACATAGACCAATGAAACAGAATAGAGAACCTGTAAATAAACCTCATACCTACAGCTGTCCAATCTTTGACAAAGTTGACAAAAACAAACAATGGGGAAAGGACTCCCTATTCAACAGATGGTGTTGGGGATAGCTCGTTAGTCACATTCCAAAGAATGAAGCTAGACCTCTGCCTTTTACCATATGCAAAAATCAACTCGAGATGGATTAAAGACTTAAAAGTAAGACCTCAAACTATAAGAATCCTAGAATAAAACATAGGAAACACCATTCTGGACACTGGCCTTGGGAAAGAATTTATGATTAAGTCATCAAAAGCAATTACAACAAAAACAAAAATTGACAAGTGGGACCTAATTAAACTAAAGAGCTTCTGCATAGCAAAATAAACTATGGACAGAGTAAACAGAGAGTCTAGAGAATGGGAGAAAATATTCACAAACTATGTATCTGACAAAGCTATAATATCCAGAATCTGTAAGTAACTTTATTCAACAAGCAAAAAACAAACAACCCCATTAAAAAGTAGGCAAAATACATGAACACACATTTTTCAAAAGAAGACATATATGTGGCCAACAAGCAAATGAAAAAATGCTCAACATCACTCATCATTAGAGAAATGCAAATAAAAACCACAGTGAGATACCGTCTCATACTAGTCAGAATAGCTATTATTAAAAATTCAGAAAACAACAGATGCTGGTAAGGCTGTGGAGAAAAGGGTACACTTATACACTATTGGTAGAAATGAAATTAGTTCAGCCACTGTGGAAAGCAACTTGGAGATTTCTCAAAGAACATGAGAAACAGAACTACCATTTGACACAGCAATCCCATTGCTGGCTATATATCCAAAGGAAAACAAATAATTCTACCAAAAAGACATATGCACTTGTATATTCATTATGGCACTACTCACAATAGCAAAGACATGGAATCAACCTAGGTGCCCATCAGTGGTGGATTGGATAATAAAAAGTCGTACACACTACACAGACATGAAAGAAACAAAATTATATCCTTTGCAGCAACATGGATGTAGCTGGAGTCCTTTATCCTAAGCAAATTAATGCAGGAACAGAAAACCAAAATATTACATGTTCTCATTTATAAGTGGAAGCTAAACATTGGGTATTCAAGGACATAAAGATGGCAACAATAGACACTGTGGACTACTGGAGAGGGAAGTGGGGGAGGAGGGGAAGAGCTGAAAAACTGCTAGGTACTATGCTCACTACCTGGGTGACAAGATCTATCGTAACCCAAATCTTGGCATCATGCAATATACCCATGTAACAAACTGGCACATATACCCACTGAATCTAAAATAAAAGTTGACCTGATTAAAAAAAAGATTGATGACAAATATGATCTTTCATTCTTGGCTATTTGGCAGATATTTTCTTCAAAGTGAATGAAATGAACATGTCACTTCAAGAAGACAATAATACTTGTTTCCCGTGATAAAATTTAGAATTTTGAAAAATTTCTATCAGCCACCATGAACTAGACAGTATCCTAACACTTAACAATTTTTCTAATGATTGTTAGTGAAATTAATAAATGTGATTTTTTTGGTATGGTATAATGAACTATGTCAGTATTTAGAAGATCTATATAGCTCAGTGAGCCAATAATTGCCAAACGACCAAGGCAGGATGTTGCAAAATCATGGGTAAGAAATCCACTCAAAGTGCAAGACAGATCAATAGATTTTACTGTAACAGAGAATGTAAAGTTCACTGCTATGATTTTAGATTCCATGTTGCAACTAACCTCTAAGAAACTATCACTTGTGCAGTTTTGATGTCGTTATCAAAGAATAATATCCACAATTATCTGGAAAGGCTACTGAAATACTCTTCTCTTTTTCAACTGTGAGTCTACATAAGACTGGATTTTCTTCATGTACTTCAATCACGACAATGTACTAGACCAGATTGAATGTAGAAGCAGATATGGAAATCTGAATTCTTTTCTATTTGGCAAAATATTAAAGGATTTGCCAATATGTAAAATAATACCAGCCTAATTATTTTTCAGTTTTGAAAAGTATGTTAACATATAAATAGTTTATTATTATTTTTCACAAAAAACACTTTCCTGATTATTATTATTGTTGTTTTTATAAATGACATCATTGGCCATTAGGGAAATACAAATCAAAGCCACAATGAGATATCACTTCACATCCACTAGCGTGGCTACTGAAAAAAAACAGTAATGAATATTTCTACATTGCTGGCAGGAATATAAAATAACACGCTGTCTCTTTGGAAAACAGTTTGATAGCTCCTCAAACAGTTAAACAGAGAGTTACCTATCATATGACCCAGAATTTTCATTCCTAGATATATAACTAAGAGAACTGAAAACATAGGTTCACAAAAAATCTTGTACACAGATCTTCAGAGCACCATTATTAATAATAGCCCAAAGTGGGAACAATGGAGATGTCTCTCAGTTGATGAATAGATAAACAAATGTGGTAAACACACACAATGGAATATTATTCAGTCATAAAAATGAATGAAGTGCTGATTCATGCTACAACATGGATTAACCTGAAAACGTTATGCAAAGCTAAAGAAGTTAGTCATAATAGGCCATATTCTACAATTCCATTTATATGAAATGTCTAAAATAGGCAAATCCATAGAGACAGAAAGTAGAATAGTGATTTTCAGAGGCTGGGGGAAGTAGGAATGGAGAGTGACTGCTAATGGATATATAAGTTTCTTTTGGAGTGAAGAAAACATTCTGGAATTAGATAGTGGTGATGGTTGCAGAACCTTGTGAGTACACTAAAAAAATCCACTGAATTGTACACTTTAAAATGGTGCATTTTATGGTATGTAAATGATACCTCAATAAAAAATATTATCTGCCAGGTGTATCATAAGCGCTCAGTGTGATCTGGGAGATCAAAATAGATGCTCCTTTATTAACTAAGATGGACTCTAAAAAGTTGCCTATTAGTTGAGGGTTTAGGACCCAGCTGGCATGGCAGATTTATAGATTCCCATGGCTACAAGAAAAACAAATTATTGCTAAACTCTCTAACCACAGGAGCTATCACACCCCTCCTATCTCTGATTTACAATCCAGACAACTTCAACTCTGACTGGATAGAGGACTGGTCTTACAAATATTTTTTTCTGTTAAGTGACTGCAGACCTTAAGCCAGTTTCAGTCAAATTATAGAGGCTGCACACAAACTGTCTTTGTGTCCTATGATTCACTGTTTGATGTAAGAACCAAATTCCACCTCATTTTAATGCTAAAATCCTGCCTCAAGGTGAACATGGGATGTATGTTACATACATGTTTAACCATGCATTTGGCTCCCTACATAAAGATGTAAAGCTTTTCTCCGAAACCTGCTGAACATGTATGATTTTATTGTGTAATTTGGAGACTATCAACAATAAAACCCAACTCGTTCTTCCCGTCTTTGAAGAGGGAGCATCTTTGTTCAATGCTGGAGACTTTCTCTTCTGGGCTTGCAAACTGATGTCACCAATGAAGCTCTCCTTTCTACTACTTAGCCATTCTGGTGGTCTTTTGGGTGACATTAGCCATTAGTAATGAAGTTATTTCCATTGAATAGCAGGGTTTGAAGGGTTTAACATTTGATGTAGGTCATGCAAAGATAACAAATACTGGTGAATTTAGAAGAAGGCAACTTTAAAATTTTTGCTTCTGGCCTTACTAGCCCTAGTGCCTTCCACTCATTTAGATGCTAATGATCATTAACATAAGACAAAATCCCTACCTTTTTCACTTTTTAGCAAGAGTGACCCATGACTTAGTGGATAAAACTATCTGATTTCATGACACTTGCTGTGATCTGAGGGTAACTGCTGTTAGGAAAAGAAGGAAGCCAGATGGAGAGTGGTTGGAAGTTGAGGGTAGCGTTGGAGTGGGAGGTAGTCTTTTTTGTGAGCACAGCAGGAGGAATATCTTGGCAGTGATGATACTCCAACAATCTGGCTAGAAGTGGGATTCATAATTTACTCTATGTGAATCAGAACTCTGCTCATAGGTCTTTTCCCCTTTTTGGAGGGACCAGCAAGAACAGCAGAGCCCCAGTTCTAGCAGGAGGAGGTTCAGGGTCCTCACTCCCATTGGGAGGAGACAGGAATTGGAATGGAAAATTGAGAAAGTAAAAGAACTTATATTTGAAGAGTGAGAGTCCTTTGAAATGATCAGGCCCAAAGAGGAATTGAGACAGTAATCATGTATACTGCCTCCCTTTAGAGCTACCTATTCATCTCTTGAAACTGCTTGCTATTTTCACAAGTAGCTATAAATTAACTTAATGCTGCACTGGACAATATAACGTGCACACAATAGCTTAATAATGGATAGCCAGTCAATAGCTTAAGTTATTTTAATGTAAATTATCAGCAAACAGCTCAGAAATGGCCTCTTCTTTCTCTTTAAACACCTACTTGTAACTCCTGCTAATTAGAGCAATATTCAAAGCAACTTGAATCGATGATTCTGGGTTGGAATCCTCAAGCCAAATAAATTCTTCACTTATATTAATTTTGCCTCAGCAAAATTAATGTCAACAAGATCAACTACAGAGACCAGATGATATTGTTGAGCATAAAGAAAATGCTTCAGTTTTACCGGTTACAGAGTCACAATGTTTGCCCTGTGTACAGACCTTAGAATTAGAAGTAAGTCTAGATCCAATCAGCCATGATTAAAAAAAAAAAAAACCTAGACTTATATGTTGGCTTGGGAGGAATTTCTAAAAGTGTTAAATGCTTATTTGTCTTGCATTGTGGACTGCTATTTGCTTTTTGTACAAGTTTTAACAAATGATGAGGGTATTTACTATTACTGAAAAACAAAATTACTTAATTACTGAATATTACTGAATGGCAAAAAGAAAAAATAATCAATCAATACAAATTGTGGACACATCATATACTGAAAACATAGAAAGTGGGGTCACTGAAAAGTATGAACTATAGGAAAACATATTTTGCAATTTTGTTGAGTTTTATTGTATATTTTTAAATTGGTTTAATTACCATTTTTAAGGATAAAAACTTTCTCTTTTTTCGCTGAGAACAAGACCTAGTTAACAGAAATATAAATAGTGATTTACATAACAATAACTCTTTTGGCATTAGAAAAGCTGGGCATTTGGTCTTCTTTAAAGGAAAAGCTTGTTCTCTGTAGGATACATCAATGTTTTTATCTTAATATTTTATAATCTTTGCATTATTTTCTGAAATCTGAATTTGAATACATAATATATCATCACACTCCTTGTCAGCATGCCTAAAAAGGCCTCTCAATTTTTATAATTTAACCCAACCTTACTTTGCAATGGCACCATCTGCTACTTCCTGGTATTTGCCAGCCACAGAGATTAGGCTTCTCAATATTCCCCAAATTAGCCTTGTTTTTCAATGTTTGTGTCCATACCACTTTTCTTCTTTCCTGAGTGTTCCTCTCCCCTTCTTAGCCTGCTCCATTTCTGTCAGTTTTCTCTGTGAACATAGGCTTGGCTGCACCACACAGATCAGTCACTCTGTGTTCCTACCGTGCTCTGCTCCCCCACACATAGTGTCTGACGGTGACTTTTCACTATGACTTCTGCACTGGTGCCTCAGGAGTCTCCTCATGTGATGTGTGTGTGTGTGCATGTGTGTGGTAACTGGCATTTGGGTAGGCAGACTTCCTGGCCTTCCAACCAACTCAAGTGTTAAATAATGACAGGGTTCAGAAAGTGCTGCCCCAAAAATGTGGCACCTTGGCATCTGAGAAAACAGCAGAAGCAGGAAGGTCTCTCTGGCTCTTCCCTGCTCCTCTCTCATGAAGCAAGCCCTAAAAGAATTATCCGATCTTCTTCTGAAGAGGTCCTCATTCAAAAGGTACCTTCCTTAGACCCAGAGAAAAGGAATGTCCTTATCATACTTCACAACTGTTCACGTTTGATCAAACCAAAGAATAAATATATGCAGGTTTCCCTGTTTCTTTGGGTCTTCATTATTGAAATCTCCTGTATCATGTAAAATGTACATTAAATAAATGTGTATGCATTTCTCTTGGTAACTTGTCTTTTGTTACAGGAGCATCAGCTTGAACCTAGTGATGAGTGAAAAAAGATGTTTTGGTTCCTACAACAGAGTAAATCTACTTTATTTGTTTTTTTCTACACAGAGTTTCCATAGAAAAGTATTATGTTTGAAGAAAGAGTCCATTTTTTTTTTTTTTAAATCCTAAAAACCACTTGTACAGAGAAAAGAGAATGAACTCTGGAGTCAAAGAGATCTTAGTTGGCATTTAAGCCTCACCACTCATTAGCAGGGTAACCTTGGTGACTCATTGAGTCTCTCTGACCTTAGTTTCTCATTTGGAATATTGGATGAATAATACCTAGTGGGCAGGATCATTGTTAAGATTAAATAGAATTCTGTGTATAATGTGTCTGGCCTGTTAATGAATGCTAATTCCTTGCTTCTCCTTTCAGCATATAACATGTATAATTTTAACAATGTGTTTACATCCCCCACTAGAATATACAGGCAGGGAGGGAGACAAAGCACAGTGTCTGGCCTAGGCCAGGCGCTCAATAAATGTTTGATGAATGAATGAGTAGCTCTGATTTCTTTCCAAATTGCTTTGGAAGTTGTGGTAGCTTTTTACCTGCTTTAAGTAAACCAATCTGTATTCAGCCAGACACATACCTGATTCAAACGGAAAACTGAATGAAGTTGGAGCCATTTCAACGTCTCTCACCCCCAACTTGTTTTAGATTCCAAATGATCATACTTTCCAGAATTCTAAATGGAGATGCAGTGAAAAAAGTATTATTTCTTCATATTTGCATCAATTTGATTTATATATTAATTCCATTTAGATTATTTTGCTCTTTGAAGTTCCAGGACACATTCTCCTTGGTTTCATCACAGTTAGTTTTCAAATAAAAAGGTATTTGTTGAGCATCTCTCTATAGGTACTTCTGTTCTTCTTCTCTCGAAATTAATCAGGCTCAATGGTGACTTACTAAGTTATGAAGCCATTAGATACCATGGGTATGCTTAGGAAACAAACAAACAAAAAATACAATCTTAATTATTGCTATGGAAAATCTATGAACAATAAATAAATTATGATTGGGTAATAGCTTTTTATTCAATAAAGAATGAGATTGATGGGGGAAGAGGGTTTTTCTTTCATTGCTAGATTAAAAGTTTCTATATTTTCAAATTTAGAGTTATTATCTCAGAAGATACAATAGTTATTGCAAGTTCTTATTTTTCTCATCTAGAGACTTTTATTAACCAGGAAAAAAAATCTCTCTAGGCAATGCTTTTGATTCTGCACAAAGATAGTCATATGAATATTCTTTGACATTTTTATGCTGGGATAAAGAAGTAAAAGAAGATAGAATGTAACTGTTTCAGAAGTGATCATACGAAAGAGGGCATCACTGAAAAGTAAACCTTTTACATCATTTTGGAGGTTAAAGTTGAGAGGAGGGTCTGGCTTTGCCTGGAATATTCAGTAAAAACTGTAGAGTTCTTGTTTAAGTGGAGTCTTGAAGAATTCAGTAGCCATCTGCATGATGAGGGAATTGTGAAAGTGTTTTAGGTGGGGGGATAGCTTCCACCAGTTGAGGTTGGGTTTGGCTGTGATGTGACAGCCTTACAATGTTGAAAACAGATGCTATGGCAATGGTCAGTCTTTGCTCTTTGCAGAAAAGTGCATGTGAAGAGAGTAAAAAGAATTGGCAATTTCTCCTTCCTTCACCTTCATTCCTATCCTGGAACAGGTTATCCAGCAAAATAGGCTGGGCAAAGTTCCAAGCTGCTACTAGAATGTTTCTAAGGATGTTAAGTGACTGCCACTCTTAAAGAACATCTTTGCTCTGCAACTTCCTTTTCCTGAATTATCTATAAAAATAGAAAAAACTGCAATTTACGCACCAGACTTTCTAAAAAATGTCTTAGAGGAGACACTTGACCTTGCCTAAACCCAAATCTTCAGTCCTTTTTAGGATCTACAACTTGTTATTTATCTTGCTCCTATTTATGCTACATGTCTTTATCTTACCCTCCAACTAATTTAAAGACCCTGGGAACAGAGTCCACATGTTATACTGCTTTATATTTTTCTTTCTTTCTTTTTTTTTTTTTTTTTTTGAGACGGAGTCTCGCTCTGTTGCCCAGGCTGAAGTGCAGTGGCGCGATCTCAGCTCATTACAAGCTCCGTCTCCCGGGTTCACGCCATTCTCCTGCCTCAGCCTCCCGAGTAGCTGGGACTACAGGCGCCCGCCACCACGCCCAGCTAATTTTTGTTGTATTTTTTAGTAGAGACAGGGCTTCACCATGTTAGCCAGGATGGTGTTGATCTCCTGACCTCGTGATCCACCCGCCTCAGCCTCCCAAAGTGCTGGGATTACAGGCGTGAGCCACCGCGCCCGGCCTCTGCTTTATATTTTTCTGTAACAGTTTCCTATAATATAGTGCTAAAGTCTGGATAGAGCATCCTAAATACCTGCTAGATTCTTTTTTTGATTTGGCCTCATGGGGATGAGAGAAACTGCTGAAAAATATGTATATAGCTAGTAAAACTGGAGTTATAATGGTGGAAGTGGGTATGTGTTGAATATTTCTCGTTGGTTTCCAGACCCACTCTCCACTCTTCTCTATCCCGCTTTGACTAACCTTTGTGAACTATATCAAATGGTTCCCTTGCCTTTTGGCTTCCATTTGGGTTCAGCCAATAGGAGGCATGGGAAAGGAACAGGAGGGGCAGGAGAGTGAGGTTAGGGCATTTACTTACCCAACTCTCTCTCTACAGAGCCTTGTGGCTGCTTTGCTCTATGTGCGTCCACAAGTTCTTCTCAGCGTCTTTTTTCTACACCTAGGCTGCAAACCGCTTCAGGTTCTAGTAATCGTTTGCTACCCTTGCCCCTTAACATATGTAGAAGGGAATGGCTTGCAATTATTTTAGCTTTGGGATGCTTCATTATCACTTGCTGATTCCTGAACACAGCTCATACTTCTCTAAACAGTCCCTCCATTAACTCCTCTTCTTACTCATCTATATTTAGCTGGGATTCTGACCGATGCAGGTGATGGCCGTAACTTTCTGTGTAACTCTGGGAATAGCACTTTGCATTTTTATTTTTGTTATTGTAAAGCAAAAATGTACTCTAATTTAATGTGAATGTTTACCTATCAGACAAAAACAGACATGCAACCTTCTGAGGCGGGTGCCTTAAAAGACTACATATAATTTTAAGTTATGACCTTCAGTGATTTCTGAACCAAACCAAAGTTCTTACTCAGCACTGTACTTTTATACACTTGTTTATGTAACAAAGGTGTTACCTGCCCAATAATTTAATGACCTGTTATTAACCAGCCTTGTTTATTCTAACACATTGTGTTAGGAGCTTAATTGACTTAGCCCTCCCATACAAGATAAAACTTGCTCAGGAACAGGTTTGGCTATTACAGTCTTTATGTAAATGAGAGTGTGAATTAAATGTTTGTGTAAGCAACAAATGATAGTCACACTGACTCCATATTTTTTTCCAATAGTGGATGAGTAATAAGAAAGATTATAATACTATTAGAAATGATAGAAATATATGATCTCCAGGTAACTTTTGCTTTATGAAAGAATAAAGTAATCTTAAGATATTACTGCTTTATGATTTTTAAGAAGGAATTTTCTCTTTCAGCTAACAGCATTTATTAATCAGATGTTTTCTGTTAAGATGTACTTTTACATTCATGCTTCTGCAAGTGAGAGTAGTATCTATTAAGTTGGTGCAAAAGTAATTGCAGTTTTTGCTATTACTTTCAATGACAAAAATTAGACAATTACTTTTGCACCAATCTGGTAATTGACAGCCATGTTAATTTGACAATAATCTTGAGTTTCTCTTTTAAGATTGTTCTCTGATTATCACTAGGGAGTGTATACTTTTTGAGGCATATTGAGAAAAACATTTCTCTAAAATTTTCTTTCTTCATTTTTCTCTTAGAGTCGATTTATGCCTGGGTTAAAGAGGAAATCTGTCATCGCAGCTGGAAACTATTACAATAGGAGCTTTAAAAACTAAGGTAAATGAATGAATAAGAGAATTTTTTTATATAGCTTTAGAAATAGCATAACAAACTGTCTGAACAATAATATGAAATTCATGCACCAATCTGTTCTATCAGAGTATATTTGAATGTTTTCTCTCTTTCAGGCATTGACCTAAGCACTAGGAATACCGCTGGGTAAAAGCCAATGTTATGACAGTATCATTTGTAGTCAATGGTAATGTTCAAATATTTAACAACTCATGCAACATAGTCCCCTACAATGCAAAGAGAAGCCAGCAGTGAACAACAGATTCAGCCGGACCAGTGCATCCCAGCTGAGGGTCCCCAATTCCTAACCCTTCTTGGTTTCATCACTTGGGCCATTCACTGGGGATTTTTATTTGCCCCTCAGTTGAGACCAGGATAACTGATTCTCCTTTCCTTGTCTCTATGTTCTCTGTTCCTGCCATTCTGAGCTGTGCCAAGCCCTTTCACCAGGTGCTGGACTAAATTTTGGGTCCTCAGCTTCCTCAATGTCAGGATATCACCTTGATTTCCTGGTCACATATCTGATTCTGGGCTCCGATTTTTATCATAGTGCTGAAGTCTCCATTCCCATCTCCCTCTTAGACCTCACAGGGCACTTTATATCTACTTTTCTTATGATGTTTGCTTCTCTTGGTTATTTAAATAAAGATCTTATCATGCCTTTAGATTGTAAGCTCTTTGAAAACAAGAAACAATTCCTTTTTTTTTCTTTTTTTGAGGTGGAGTCTCGCTCTGTCACCCAGGCTGCAGTGCAGTGGTGTGATCTTGGCTCACTGCAACCTCTGCCTCCTGGGTTCAAGCGATTCTCTTGCTTCAGTCTCCCGAGTAGCTGGGACTATAGGTGCACGCTATCACACCCGGCTAATTCTTGTATTTTTTTTTAGTAGAGTTGGCCAGGATGGTCTCGATCTCCTGACCTCATGATCCACTCGCCTCAGCCTCCCAAAACGCCGGGATTACAGGCGTGAGCCACCATGCCAGGCCCGAAACAATTCTTATAGAACTGGATATATACCAATAGCCTCTAACACTAACGAATTATTGTTACTTTATTTGGTATGATAATGATATTATAATTAGGGTTTAAATATATGCTGAAGTATTTATAAGGTGAAATGATACAATTTCTGGCCTTTATTTTAAGATACTCTGAGAAACAAATTTTGGGGTCTAGAGGGGATAAAATAAAGATAATAAAATATTGATAATTACCAAAGCTGAATGATGGGTACATTGAGGTCATTATACTTTTTTCTCTACTTTTCTGTGTTTTAAAACTTCCATAATAAAGTTAATTTATATATAAATATAAATAATATAAACATAAATTTTTCTAGCATTAGGACCTTTGCACTTCCTAGTCCCCTCTCCTTGGAACACTTTTCCATCAGGTATGCATAGGACAGTCTCACTGTCATCATTTAGGGCTCAGTGAGGCCTCCCTAGTCCCCTGTCCAAAGTTGCCTATACCCTACCTAGCCACTAGTTTATTACTGTATTTTGCTTATTTGTAGTATTTATCACTAGCCAACACTTTTAACTTCTTTCTACATTGTCTGTATCCCCAATAATTCATATAAAGCCTCATACATATTAGGTACTCAGTGATTTTTTTAAATGAATGCATGTACATGGTTCTGTTCTTGCCCTTGTGGGATTCAACCTTTTTATCAGCAACTTAGAAAAAAATAGAAAGACTTGCTTATCAAGCCAGGTGCAGTGGTATGCCTGTATTCCCAGCTACTCCAGGGGCTGAGATGGGAGGATCCTGTGAGCCCAGGAGTTCAAATTCAGCTTGGGCATTACAAGGAGAGCTTGTCTCTTAAAAAAAAAAAAAAAGAAACGAAAAACAGACATGCCTATCAAATTTGTAGATGACATGAAGTTAGACAAGTGCTGCTAATTTAAAATGAATATACAGTGTGTTGATGTGAAGTTGTGAAGTGCTTGAATAAAACTATTTTAACAGAGATAAAGGTAAAATGAAAAATGTAAGTAAAAAAAAATCCACTATAAAAACTCATAGCTTAGCGGCAATTCATGAGCAAAAAGACCTAGGAATTTCAATTATAGACTGTTTGGTGGCTAAAATAGGTAACCTGATTTATAGAGATACAATTTCCAGACAATGGTGCCACCATATTCTGCTGAGTTTAACACACATCTTGAGCAGGAATGCTTGTATTGGTTATTTGATCATCTTAATATTTTATTTACACTCACTTCCAATTTATTGTTTTTCAATGAACCATGTAAACTGTTGTGTTCACTGGACAGCAACTTCTGTTTTTGCAGGCAATCTAAATGAAAAAAATGAAATAGCAGTCAGCCAGCTGATTATTGAGTGAGAATGATACAGTAGTTATCTTTGATGACATCAGACTGTGATAGCCTGAGCTGTCCTCTCCACCCCAGAAATGTTTCTATAGAGGGGAAGATCTTCCAAGGCTCTACCTCTCACTGGGCTTGGGCTTAGGGGTGGCAATGTCTTTCTTCTATTATTGGCCTTTGGGGGACTCAACATCCCTTGTTGAGTCTCCCAAAGCTGTCCTCATTTCTGTAAAAAGCCTCATCATCAAGTTCTTTTCAAAATCCCAATTTCTTTTAGGACATGAATTGATACCATAACTTTTGGGATTCATCAGGCCATATAATTGTAGAAGGGAAAAAGCTGGTATTTCTTGATCATTATGCACACACCTCTATTGAAGTATTTGTAATGATAATCTTTTAAGTATTTATGTGTGCCAGACATTTTGCATTCCTTATTCCTAATTATTACAACTATAGGACAAGCTATGTTATTTTTTGCGTTTTACAGATGAGGAACTTGAAGCTCAGAGAGATTAGGTAATATGGTCCAGGAGGTAGTTTGTAAATGACAGAGACTTAATTGCGTCTGATTCCAAGGTCCACATTGCTGTTTCAACTACACTTACCATCTTCTTATCCCTAGCATGCATATTGGATTCTCTTTTGCTTGTCTGAGTACTTAGCTGGAATCTGGTAAGTTTTTTAAATGTAAGAACTATATTGTATTATTTTACCTCCTCTGCCTAGCATAGTGTCTGATTAATGCATTTTGACATGCAATGCATTTTTGAGTAAATGAATAGAGGCAAAATGCCACTTAGTCTTTAACCTGTATTTCTACTCTTTGGGAATATCTGTAGCAGGACTTTGATTTTATATTTCTTCTCCATTAAATTCCTTCATGCTCCTTTTCCCTCTTAATCACTGACTCTCATTTTTATGCACTTGTTTTTTTTCCTATATGCATTCCTTGCTGAAAATACAGGTATGTCATGCATCAGAGTCAAAGTTGCATCTGGCAACTAGGAAATGGTGATAAAATAAAAAATGTGAATAATGATACTCTGTTTGGTGGGACTGGGGTTAAGGGTAAGGGAAAGACAGTGTTAAAAGCCACTTATATTCACTCACACTCTTTCTTAACATCTTTTGTTTTATTTGGATACACTACAGTTCTGTCTTTGCCACTAGTAAAATGAAGAGATTCTTCCTCATATATTTTAGCATATATACAGCAAATGCATTGAGTTTAGTGGTTATAGGTTATTATACTCGTTAAAGCATATATACTTGCCTTAGAAAATGGCTTAACAAATGTCCAATGAATGGCAACAAATATCCTGTTTGAACATTGTAATTCTCTTTATTTACTTAGCCACAGACTGAATATGCTGACATATTTTATAGAACGTTTTACAAAAACCCTGGGCAAATTCAAAAGGCACAGTGTTCACTTGCAGCAGGGCATTCCGTGGTAGGGAAAAATGCAATCCCAGTTTACTTTCATTCATATGGTAATGTTTTGCCTTCTGTCTTTGAGATTCTGGTATGAAAACAACAGAATCAGAAGTCATGGAACCTCAAAATGTTACAACTAAATAAAGAGGTATTAGATTACGGAAACAAATTTGAGTCTTTTTTTTTTAACTTTGTGACTTGATTTATCCTTAAATCTTTCCCCCAACTTCTTATTTTGAAAATTTTCAAATCAACGAAAAGATTGAAAGAATAGTAAAGTGAATATTCATATACCATCCTCCTAGATTTAGTTATTAACATTTTGCCATATATGTTTTATCTCCATTTAAAATAATAACTTTTTTTTTTTAGAATTTAGGGCACATAGCTAACAAAAATTTCCCTTTTGTTTTATTGTCTGTAGCTATAGCTAAATTTATAAGTTCTACGAGAGGAGAAACTAGGGCTGACTTGTTCATTACTGCTTCTCCAGCATTTAACATAATGGTTGTATAGTGTATACATAACTATAGTGTATAGTAAGAGCTCAGTAAATTTTCACTGACTGATGGACTGAGTTGTTCTTTATACACTTGGACCTTGCAAGATGCAGAAATCACTCAAAGCTTGAAAGAAACTAGATTTGATCTAAAGTAGAATTTTTAAAAGTGCACTCAAATATTGAAGGGAATGTCTAAATCCCTTTATTTCTCTCAGCACTTATTACAATGCCTTGCCTCAGATAGCTGCTCATTAAATATTCCTTGAATGTCAGAACAAATCAACTTGGTAGGAATATCCAAGACAGTCCCAGAGCTGACCAAACTTTGGAAAATAAGCCAAAATAATAAAAATTTGGAGATTTGAAGAGTGAGCTTATTCAGACTGGGATAGTCTATAAATGGACTTGATATCTCAGCTCATCTCTGAAGAAAAAAAACAATGAATGCAGAACAGAAAAAAAGGAAAATTCACTTAAAAACAACTTTATGGGAATTCTTAGACATAAAGGAGATTTTTTTAAGAGTGACGGCTGTTAAGTTTTGAAATTGGGTTGTTTACAGAGGTAATTCTCTTGTGTAGATCTACTTCTCTGGAGTAATCTATTGCAAACTAGAAAGTTTTTAGGATCTTTTAATAGATTTCTGTCTAAAATGACTACATCTAATTGTGCCAAATAGTAAAAAAGAACGTCAAAAGGATGTTTCACCATTGTCTACACAATAAAGTATCTTAGCATGTAATTCAAGGTCCTTTGCAAAACTAACTCCCAGCTAACTCCATAACTTTACCATTCTTGTCCCACATGTAGCCTGAGTTGTGGTCCAGGGTTTTTTTGACTGGGTTCTGTGGAACTCTGGTGTCCCTAACCCTTTACTGGATTTCTTTTTTTTTTTTTTTGACAGAGTCTTGCTCTGTCACCCAGGCTAGAGTGCAGTGGCACTATCTCAGCTCACTGTAACCTCCACCTCCCAGGTTCAAGCTATTCTCGTTCTTCCACCTCCTGAGTAGCTGGGATTATAGGCACCCAGCACCACAGCTGGCTACCTTTTGTATTTTTAGTAGAGACGAGGTTTTGCCATGTTGGTCAGGCTGGTCTCGAACTCCTGACCTCAAGTGATCCTTTTGCTTTGGCCTCCCAGAGTGCTGGGATTACAGGCATAAGCCACCACGCCTAGCCCCCTTACTGGAGGATATTCATGAGATACATTAACCCAATTAGAGTTTCTGAAAAATTCTACAGCAAGAAGCCATTATAATAGTTTACCAAACTTACTTGACCAAGAAATTTTTGAAGTGGCAGACTATGGGTTAACATTATGAGGGACCTTTGTACTTCCCAGAATATAGTTTGCAAAGTGCTGCCTAACCATTATAATGCTTAGAATTCCTTGAATGTTGCTCATGACATTTCTGCCAGGAATAATTTAATTTACTCAGAAAAAGCTGCTATGCCCAAAAAGAAAGCCACACAAGATGGGGAGAACTTGTGGAACTAATTCTGTAATTTAAACACATGTCTACCTGCCCTATGAGGTGTGTAATCATCTCTACTTTGTAGTTGGAAGCATAATCTTAATATATAAGTGTTCTGTATTTTTTCTTTATATTTGACTAAATTAAATCTCAGGATTTTGTGTCATTTACATTTTAGTCTTTAAGATAGAAATATTCAGAATCAAGAGATATGTGCAAACAATTTATGAGTGGAGTGACAGAATGATATTTGAAAAAAGTAGTTTCCATGAAGTGGATAGTACTTGGTATGTTCAAAAGTCTCACTTGCTAAGTTTTGCAGCTTTGCAACATTTATTCAAATGAGTGCCAATGATTGAAAGAGCAACATACATTTAAATTAATAAAACAAAATGAAAATCTTCCTTGGTGAACAGAAATGACCTTTGTTGACATATGCTTGTGTGCTTATTTAGGAAAGTGGCAAATGGATGAAAACTTTATATTGATTACTCATTACTTTGTTTTTTTCTCTAAGGTGTCCATAAATTGTGTCATTCATTCATTCACTAGCTTTTTCAACTTAGTGTTGGGAGCCATTTCCCATAGGTTTCTAATGTTTCTGCACATCTTGTGAGCAGAGGCACTGACAGCCTTTTTTCCTGAATAATCTTTTTAAAAGATATTTGATAGTGAAAACAAGATAGAGATAGTATCTACTTCTGGACACAAACTTCTGGAGCAGATTCAGTCCAGCATACCATAAATAATGTCTTCCTTCAGAGCAAAAGTCGGACAGGTTTTCTTGCAGCCCAATTGTTTATTGGACAGGTTTTCTTGCAGCCCAATTGTTTATAATAAAAGATTGGGGTTTCCTAGCTCAGGGTTTCTCAGCTCAAACTCATGATGTGAGTAGCATCTACCTAGGGTGCTCCATATAACTCCCATGGGACTTGAGGGATAGGGGGAACAACATGAAAATTGAGCTCAGGGTGCTGACTACATCATGAGTAATAAAGTTCTTTGTCTCTGACCCAGGAGACTTGTGTCTTCTGCCAGTATCCAAGAAACATGGCAGGCTAACTTGTTGGCTTGCGAAGCTTAGTAAAAGAGCCTTAACAGTTCTTTGCCCAGGTTTTTTTTTTTTTCTTTTTTTTTGGATGCCATTAGGCTTGTCTTGGATTGGGGCCCCTGGTGCAAATCATTGCTGGATGGCAAGCATGAGGCAGAGGTCAAATCTGGAGGGAAAAGCAGTACTGGCCTAAGGCAAATCAGATACATTATCAAGGGGCCAGGCGTGATGGCTCACACTTGTAATCCCAGCACTTTGGGAGGCCGAGGCTGGTGGATCACCTGAGGTCAGAAGTTCGAGACCAGCCTGGCCAACATGGTGAAACCCCGTCTCTACTAAAAATACAAAGATTAGCCGGGCATGGTGGCACGTGCCTGTAACCCCAACTACTTGGGAGGCTGAGGCAGGAGGATCGCTTGAACCTGGGAGGCAGAGGTTGCAGTGAGCCGAGATTGTGCCACTGCACTCCAGCCTGGGTGACAGAGTGAGACTCCGTCTCAAAAAAAAAAAAAAAAAGAAAAGAAAGAAAGAGAGAGACATTATCAAGGGAACAGGATTGACCTGATATTATCCAAGGAAAGCTACCTAACCTGGGTTCAGAGCAGAACTGAATGAACAGACAAAGTTAGAAATGAGTAGGCATCTGAGGTTAGGATGGCTTCTATTCCAGACAGATGTGGTCAGAAATAGGTTCACAGAAAGTAACTCTTGGTTCCTTTCTGCTCTACGGCACGGCTATTAACACAGATTGGACTTTTTTCCTTCCTCCAAAAGTGACCCATGGGTAAGACTCTTAGTTCTTAAGTTGCCAAGTCCTTGGGCTGTTCTAGCCCGATGCCAGGACCTAGTCATTATCACTACCAGTGTTTAAGGGAGGGTGATGTTCTTGGTCTATTGGGGAACACTGGCTCAATCCATCTTAGAGTGTGTTGGTTCTTGGTGTCTGATTGTCTAGGCTGTTTCACAGAATAGTTTTCTGCTCCTGCGACCAGTCATCCTTGGGGTAGGGTTGGAGGTATTGGACTCTGGACCTTAAGAAATCACTCTGGACAAATTTTTAAAAAGTCAAGTTGATAGTGGCGTAAATAGTAACAAATTTCTAAATGATGTGTCATTCAGTTTTCTCAGCACAAACAGTTACAGTTCCCCTAGGAATTTGGAACTGTTGGCCATGCTCTTTCTAAAGGGGGAAGTGGTTAAAATAGCAGCAGTTTGTCCAAGCTGGCAAGCTAATGCAGTGGTGGCTACCTCTTTGTACTCATAAATAGACTTATAAAAATGAATATGCCACAAAACGCAATGGCTATGGTGTAATCACATGAAAGTTTATAGAGAAAACTCTCCAACTATTTCAGCCTCTTAATTTTGACTTGATTTATAGTGTTCTTCTAAATGATTGGTCAACTATTCCATCAACGTTATTGGTGGGATTTGTCAGAAATATTTTTTAATGACTCTTAGGGGAATATGTAGGAGTGGTTTAATTATCTTCAAAATGTACAATGTCATATGCTGCCTTTCAGTTTGATTATTCTTAAGTTCAGTGGGAAATACGCTTCTGAAAGTTGAATTTGGAATAAACAGGACAAAAATGAGCGAATGTGGGCTGGAAAACTCTCAAAGCAAAGTACAGGTCCTGGCCCCAGGGCAGAACAGGCTGTCCTAAACCAAGTTCAGAAGGAGGTGTGGAAATTGAAGGGCAGAGTTGGAAAGCAATCTGGGGGAAGCAGGTAGCACGATGTGGAATCTGAAATGCTGGGCCACATGGATTTCAAGGACAGCTGGTTAACAGGGAAAAGCAGTACTGGCCTAAGACAAATCAGAGACATTATCAAGGGGTCAGGCATGGTGGCTCACACCTGTAATTTCAGCACTTTAGGAGGCCGAGGCAGGCAGATCACCTGAGGTCATTGCATTAGTGCTAGAATGCAAAAGAAGAGTTTGGCTTGTTGGTAGAGAGACTGAGAAAAGCTAATGTGAGTAAAAGGGATTCAGGCATATTGGCAGCTCAGGGAAGGTAGGATAACTGTGACAAAAACAAAACAGCAGACAGGGAGTGTCTCACCAGACTATTTTAACAAAGCAAACCAGGTGGAGACAGAGCTACTAATAACCTGCTAAATTATAACCCAGTGTGTTCTGGAATTGGGTGGGACTGTGCCTGGTAATGGCAGTGATGTTAGAAGTAACTGGAGCAAGAATGGGTCTGTTTGTATCCCCCTGCTTTGGCTGGAGGACAAAATTCCCTTTACTTGTAGGGTCTCACTAGGCTTGTGTTGGTCAAGAGCCTCTCAACCATTCCCAAAGAGCGTATGAGCAAGAGTAGAGCTAAGAGGTAAATCCAGTGATTCAGAGATAAGGTTTGGGTATCCTACCAAATGGAAGGGCCAGAAGTATCAGAAGTTCTGGGGTGGAATCAGGGTAAGACTTTCTTCCTTCCCTCATTCATTCAGTGTATATTATGTGGAGGTTCTATGCTAAGTTTTTGTGACTACCAAGATGCGAAGACATAGCCCCTGTCCTCCAATAATTTAGTCTTTTAGGTAAGCTAGATAAGAGGATGACAATCCAGTGTGGTGAGAACCATGATAAAGATAAATACAGGGCTCTGCAAGAGCATGCAAGCTGCTGGTGGGGAGCATAGATCATGAAAGATGATTTCCTGGAGGAGGTGATGATTGAGCTGTGTCAAAAAGGATGAGTAGGAGATAGGTAGGTAATGATGGAGCTTATTCTAAACCAGGGTTTGTGCAAATCCTGAGAGCTGGAAGAGCGTGATGCAGTCAGGAACCCTCAGTATTTCAGGGCTGCTGAGGCTGGAGAGTCATAAGGAGCATTTTGTACGTCATAATTTCTCTGCTATGGTGAGAAATTCAACCACTCACTTTTAGGTCATTCAGACCAGCTCCAATAATGAGCAATAGTGGCTCTCTTAATTTTCTGTGAGCCCTTTCCTAGGCAAGCTTCCCTTCATTGGAATTCCTGTCTTCTTACCAAGAAACAGAGTCTAAGTTCTTTCTGGACTGGCGGGGGTGGAGTGGTGAGGGGGAGCTGAAATTACCTCTTTCTTGCACATAGACCTACATGCTGAGATTCTAGCACTCCTCCCACTCGGGTTTTTGGAACTGGGTCACAAACTGGCATACCCTGGTAAGCTCATGAAGACTCTTTCCTTAAGCCCTCCCCTTAGCAGAAAGAGATGGACTCATGCCTGTCTAACTAAATAGCAGACTCTGGAGCATGCAATTAGAACAATCTTTGGGTACTTTCACCCCTGGAGGACTATCCCTTAGGTCCTACAGTTTGGGGGTTGAATTTATATTCAGCATTTCATTTTCTTGCATAAAGATGTTATAGAAAATGAAAATGTCATGTTTTTTAGTGCTGCTTAGATATTATCTATGGTGATGGATTGTTGCTATGAATATTTGAGTTGCTATGAATGCTTGAAGAGGCAAAGTGTGTCATAGTGAAAGTGCCAGAATGTTGTGTTAGCTACCTGACTGATGCTTCTGGTGCTAAAATGCAATTAATGAGGCTTGCCTTGCCCACCTCATGTGGTTATTTGAAAGATTAAATTACAGAATCTATGTGAAAATGAAGTGTCAGTAGAATGCTATTCAAACAGAAGATGTTATTATTTGAGTTGCTTCTGGGGGGCAAAAAGAGCACATTTTTCTTCTGAAATGTATCTTTTAAGTAGGAATGAGTTACCATGGTATTAGAGACACTTCAGTACAAAATTGACAAATAAATGGAAAAAAATTTATGAAATGTCATTTAGAGCTGTTTTTTAATAGTGTCTCAATGCATTGAATAGCATTTAAGGCTCTTTTTCCTATCTGTATTTAAGGGCTCTAACTGCAAATTGATAGATATTTGATTCTGTAATTCCAGATATTTTGAACATTGAAATAGGTAGCACTTTTGTGAAAGATAATTGCTCTGAAAGAGAGTTTTAGCTTTGACTGAGAGAAAGGTATTGGTAATTTCCAAGAGCACTTTAAAAAGTGGCTGCAGAATTCAAACAGAAAGCCATCAAGATCAGGATTAGTGGAAGCAGAAGGAGTGAGCAACAGGAGTACAGCGTCTGTTCTAATAGTTTAAATGTGCAAGGGAGATGAGAAGTGAAGAAATAGAAGGAGATGGGGAGAGATTTGCAAGACGCTTATTATCTTTCAACAAAGGGTGGTGCCTGTTGCACATGTATTACAGAAAGGGCATAAATCTTCCTTTCAACAATGATCAAGGTCTGGGATTAAATATCTGCTCCAAGCTCCTTCTTTCCAGTCATCATCCCTCCCTCCCCACTTGCAAGGCTGTTGCAAACTTCCAGAAGGAGTCCCTGGGTGTGTTTCGCAGGAAGAAGGAATGTCCTCCTCTCAAAATAACTCAGAGAGCAGTGAGACATTGACTTGGGACTTGGGAACATTCAAGAAGAAATGGCTACAGCAGAGAAATTTTTTTTTTTTCTGAGTTTCATGTCCTGACTAGAGAAAGAAAACTGATTATAAGGGCCGTAGAGGTGACCTGCTGTCACAGAAACCTAGGTGTAGGGTAGGGTGAAGGTTCTTTGTCCCTCCATGCTTAAGGCTATGCATTGCTTGCACACAGTGGGAAGCACTAAACTTGATTTCTCAAGAGTATTATTTCCAATAATATTTCTATAAATAGGAAAATATGAGAAATGAAGTTAGCCATTTCACTGAAGAAGCAGTTTCCTGCATTTTTTAAAACAAAACTATATAAATGTACTAGTGTCATACTAGTGCTATAAAAGAAAGCAAGAAAATTATAAAGCTCTTGAATATTTAGTGTGGCTGGGATATATCACATTGATATTCTGTTAATCTGATGTTTTCAATTAAGCCTTCCTAATTGGTGCTCACAGATAATCTAATTCTATTTATATGGGGAATAAGTTTGAATACCTTCTACTAATACACCCATGTCCAAAATACTTTTTCAAGTGAAAAGTCACATGTACATTATGAAAATTCTCTTTCAGATACATTAGTTGTTAAATTCTAGAACTAAAATACTGAATTTATTGCTTTCTCAAAACAGTATTTAGTTTTATGAATAAGGTACAGTAGTATATCAATTGTAGTACATTGCAGTAATGAAACACCTGCTGCTCAGATAATCTAAAATATGCAACTAAGGACTTTTAACTTTCCATTTTACTGTGTTAGGAAAGGAGGCCAGGTATTGCCTATATAATTTCATACTTAGCAAAACTTGTTTTGAGGCTAGTGTGATAATATATATGTTAAATAGATATTTCTTGCTATCTGGGTGTGGTGAGATGAATGCCTGGAGAGTAACTGGTTTTTTCTGTTGGCTCAGGGGCTTGTATCTGCCTGTTCTGGAAGGGTGAGTCTGAAGCACTGGGTGCTTTTCTATTCTTTCCTGCTGCAGAGTGGTTCTGAAACAGCTAATCTAACTTTAGAATATATACAAAATTGAAAAAACAAGCAAGCAAATAAAAACTCTTGGGAGATTAGGGCATGCACAGTAGTTTAAATACATGTTAAGGAGGAGCAAGAGCTGACTGTGGTTTATTAAGCACATTAAGAGACTTTGAGATCCTTTCAATTAGTATAGAATCCGAGACTGGACTTTGTGGAGTTTCTTTTTCTTAAAAACTTTTTAAAAAGTAAGCTTTAAAAAATTGAAGTAGAACCCACATACTAAATATCAAAAGCACATGTTTACTTACTGATATGGACACTTAGATCATTGAATCGTACCCTTTTGTTTCCCTAATATCAGCATTTCAGGCTCCAAATTTCACTCAGAGCACAGTTTCGGTTGCATCTCATACTTTTTGATATACCATATTTTCTGTTATAATTGAGCTCAA
Organism: Homo sapiens; assembly: GCF_000001405.40. Lineage (NCBI taxonomy): Eukaryota > Metazoa > Chordata > Mammalia > Primates > Hominidae > Homo > Homo sapiens. The sequence goes on from NC_000013.11 coordinate 77,392,192, forward strand.
AATTTTTCTTGTGAGTAATTCTTTGACCAATCGGTTATTTAAAAGTGTGCTGCTTTTTACCCAAACATCTAGCCCTTTTTGAGTTATTCTTATTATTGATTTCTAGCCAAATACCATAAGATTAATGATTTTGATTCTTTGAAATTTTTTGAGACTTGAATTATGGCCCACCAGTTTGTCAACTTTGGCAAATGTTTAATATGCACTTAAGAAAATGTGTATTTTTTTTCTGCTTCTCTTCTTTACTGATACAGATATATTCAAATCTAATTGTGATGACCCATTTATCCTTTGATTCTGTCAATTTTTGCTTCAAGTACTTTGAGGCTATTACTATCATTTATTAGATGTATGCAAATTTATAATCATTAAATCAATTTAGTAGATTGACACTTTTATCACTATAAAATATTCACCACCTTCAGTAATATTTCTTTTTTTCCGATGTTAGTATAGTAATAGCAACTTTCTCTTGTTTTTGCATTGAATATGCCTCTCCAATATTTTATTTTTAATTCTTCTTTGTCTTTATGTTTAAAGTGTGTTTCTTATAAACAATGCTGGGTTTTATTTTTTAATCCAGTGTGATGGTTTTCTTCAATTGGAAAATTGCATCTAAATTGCTAATATATTTGGGTTTAAATCTATCATCTTATTATCTGTTTTCTGTTTGTTCTTTGTTGTTTAAATTTTCTCCCCTTTCTTACCTCTTTTGAATTATTTTTATGTCTATTTTCTCCTCTATTAGTAATTATTTATGTATTATTTTACAATATTTTCTAGTGGTTGTCATCAACGTTACAACAGGAATTCTTGACTTGATAGAATCTACAAAACAATACTTTTACCACTTCCTGAACAATGTCAGGACATCAGAACACTTTGATTTTATGTACTATACTTCTGCATTTTTCTTTATTTTCATATATATGTGTGTATATTTTATGTATGTGTGTGTATTTTAGTCCTTCTCCCTTAAGAATATTATTGTTTTCTACAGTTATAATTATTTATAGTTACCCTTTACATTGCTTTTCATTCTGTCTTGTGTTTCTCTATTTCTACCTGGGATTATTTTCTTTTCCTCTGAATAACTATTTCTTTTAATGCTGGTTTGCTAATGATGAATTCTCTTAGTTTTTGTTTGTTTAAAAATCTTTTTGTTTCTTCTTTCCTTTTTTAAAAAGAACTTTACAATTTTCATACCACAAAAGCCACTTTCTCCTTCACTTTACTTTTTCCTGTTTCCTTCACTTTAAAAAAATTGTGGTAAAATACTCAACGTAAAATTTACCGTTGTAACCATTTTTAAGTATGTAATTCAGAAGTGTTAAATATAGTTACGTCGTTGTGCAACCAATCTCCAGAATGTTTTCATCTTGCAAAATTTCTCCTTTACTTTTGATGATTATTTTTTCTGGGCATAGAAATATAGCTTGAAAGTTATTTTCTTTCATAATTGATGGTGAGAAGTTAGCTGTCAGTACGATTGTTATTTGGAGGAAATATTTCATGTTTCTTGGCCATAAATGATAACTCCATTATGTGATTGTCTGTGAATCCTTTTCTTTTTTCTTTCTTTTATTTTCTTCCTTTCCTTCCCTTTCCTTCCTTTCTTTTTTTTCTTTTTGAAGATTTGGAGACTTCTTCTGTCACTCAGGCTGGAGTGAAGTGGTACCATTATAGCTCACCGTAGCCTAGAATTCCTGGACTCAAGCGATCTTCCCACATAAGCCTCATGAGTAGCTGGGACAACAAGCATGGTCACTGTACCTGGCTGTGAATCCATTTCCATTGTCTTCTTTTTATTGTCATTGTACTGGTTTTTGGTTTTCAGTAATTTGGTCCTGTCCCGTGGCATGGTTAGTAATTTTTGATTGAATGCTGGATATTAGGTATGTAAAATTGTTGACATTTGGATGATTTTATACTCCTTCCAGAGAGGATTTTCTTTCTGTTGGTAGGCAGTTAGTGTAAGGGTAGATCACCTTGATTTAATCAATGATTAAGATGATGTGTGATGGAATTTAGGCCCATGTAAGGTCTGGCATATTTTGGTTTGTTCTTAATCCTAGGACATAGCCTTTCTGCGGTCTAACTTTAAGCCAAGGCATTTACCTTGATGGTTCTTAAACATCAGTTTTTATTTTCTCATCCTTGTGAACTTGCTGAAAGCTCTGAGCTTGAAATTTGAAAGCTCTGCTTGGCCACTAGGCCCTGTGGTGCTTAAGAATTGGCAAATTTATCAGGGGGCAACGTGGAGGAGAATGTTGAATTCGCATTTATGTACTTTTCTTCTTCCTGTGATCTTGGCCCTTTAAGTATTTACTACCTGAGTTGCCTCCTAGTGGGTTCAAATAACCAATGTTTTAAAATAGAATTTTATCCAGCATCTCAGTGAGAGTGTCTGTCTGATACATAACCTGTAGATGAATGTCCTCTGGAATTTCATTAGGACAGATTAAAACTAAAGTATGCAGATTCTCTATCTAGAAATTTAGGTCTGATCAGGACTTGTGGGTGGCTGTTCACCTCTCTGGAATCTGCCATCACTAAGTTTATATTTCAGTGGGAAAATGGGCAGAGGACACTAATTAATATTCCACAGTAATAATATGTAGGTGGCCAGGAAATCCATAGACAAATGTTCAACCTTAATAAATGGTAAGAAAACTGAACTTGAAGCAAGGAGATGATTTTCCTCCATCAGATTAGGGTAAAAGGATCGATTTTCTTATTGGTGGGAATATAAATTTACCCAAGCTATATTAACAATAATGATCACTGACATTTACTGAGCACTCACCATGTGTCATGAGCTGTTCTGAACTCTTTATATGTATCATTTATTCTCATAACATCACAAAGTAAATGAGATTGCTATTAATCTCATTTTCAGAAGAAAAAACTGATGTTGAGACAGTTAAACAATGTGCCCAAGATCACTCAGATTGTCAGTAACTGCACTGAAATTGGGACCCAGGGAGCCTGAATGGAGTGTCCACACCCTTGTCTACTAACTTAGCCTCTCAATTCTGTTTCTTCGGCTTCATCCTACAGACATGGTCAGACACATGTACAAAAAGGCATGTACGGAAAGGTTCCCTGTAATACTGCCTGCAATAGTTGAAAGCTGGGAACAGACTCAATGTGCATTCATACGGAAATGTAAAAATGAAAGCATCCACGTAAAATATCCAAACAGTGGAATACTCTGTACCAGTTACTAAGAATAAGGTAGATCTAAATTCACTAACATGGAAAAATCTTCAAGATATAGATTTAATTTTAAAAAGATTAAGGCAAGGGATGGTGGCTCACACCTGTAATCTTAGCACTTTGGGAGGCTGAGGTGGACAGATCGCTTGAGCCCAGGTGTTGGAGGCCAGCCTGGGCAACATGATGAGATGTCGTCTCCACAAAAAAATACAAGAATTAGCCGGGTGCGATGGCACAGGCCTGCATCCCAGCTACTTGGGATGCTGAGCTGGGAGGATTACCTGAACCCAGGAGGTCGGGGCTGCAGTGGGCCATGTTCATGTCACTAAACCCCAGTCTGGGTTTGACCCTGTCTCAAAAAATTTTAAAAAAAGGTTAAAAAACATATTAGTAAAAAAACTGTGTAATTGGTATATATAGAGATAGAAATGTCCTTATTGACATACACATGGAATTGTTAATAGTGATTTCCTCCTAAGAGTAGGGTTTGTGGGTGGTAGGAGGGAGAATTTTGTATTTTAACTTATGCTCGCCTAGTATTATTTGTACTTTTGTATATTGAGAACATATTACTTTTGTGTTATTTAAAAAATATTTTATTGTACAAGTTTTAAACATACACAAAGAAGGAAATAGTGTAATGAATATCCATATATGCATCATCTAGTGCATGCAAAACTCATCAGTTTTAACTCACTTACTTCACATATAACCTACATTTCTTTCAATGCTTTACTGCTCCTAAAATGCTTTCAAGCAAATCCCAGACAGCATATCATTTTACTCCTAACTCAGTATGCCTCCATAAGTGTTACAGAACTTTTATTACATAACCACAGGACCATCATCATACCTTATGAATTGACAATATTTTTTGGTATCATGTAATACTCAGTCTATAATCAAATTGCCCCAGTTGGCTAAAATATATCTTTTTATAGGTAGTTTGTTTAAAACAAAATTCAAATAAAATTCTCACATGATGCTTAGTTGTTAGATCTCTTTTGTCTCTTTTAGTCTAGAACAGTTCCCTTCACATTATTTTCATACCATTGACTTATTTGTAAGTTATTGATTATGAAAATAGGTAATTCAAACATAGATTCCCATAGATAAATTATATGGCAACCCATGTTACACATTAAATCTTATGGAACAAAGGCATTCTAATCCTACTTGTAAGTATTTATTTCCCCCATCATTCATCAATACTGTACTTGTCAATTCACCAGCATTTTTTGAGTGCCTAAGATGGTTTGAACAAAAGACATTTTAAGGGAATATTAGCAGAGGGGAGGAAAAAATACAAAAGAAAATCGAGTCACCAAACTTTTAGGCTCATTAAGTGTAAGAACAGGACTAATTTTAAAGTTATACTATTTTACTCTAAATTAAAAATTCGGTTTATCAATTTCATAGTGAAAACAGTTATAAATGTATTTTTGTGTGGAATTAAGCATCTAATTTTTTTGTAAACCACCTTCCTCTCTTCTTTCCTTTCTTCCTTCTTCCTTCCTTCCTCCCTCCCTTCTTTCCTTCCTTCCTCCCTTCTTTCCTTCCTCTCTTTCTTTCCCTCCGTTCCTCCCTGCCTTCCCTACCTACCTCCCTGTTCCTTCCTTCCTCTCTTTCTCTTTCTTCTTTCCTTCTCCCTTTCTTTTTTTCTCTCTCTTCTCCCCTTCCTTCCTTCTCTCCTTCCTTCCTTCCTGCCTTCCTTCCTGCCTCTCTTCTTTTTTTGTTAAATTTTAACTACAGTTAGAAGTCATTGGTGTGGAATTCAGCATTTTTTCTAATGTATTATAATATATTTTAAATATTTTATCTTTGAAAAGATCAGATAGTTTAAGAACGTTTGAAAAAGGGCAAGTTGACATAATTACAATCTACCCAGAATTATTGAGGATAATTTACATGTATTCAATGCATAATAAATAAAGCTGTGCATCATTGTTTACAGCATTTGAGAGGGAATGCCAAGATGGAACAGCATTACTCTTCTCAATCCAAGGGGACCTAATTAGCACTAATAGGGGGGAAAATAGCAAATGAGAGCAGAAGCTCAATACGATATCAGGGAAAATATCCTAATGGACATATTGATCAGTTAGTGGGAAATTCCCAAGAGAAGAAATGTTAATGCAATTGAAGGATGTAATTGAGAAGGCAGAAAACACTGGAGGAGGTATAAATGTACTGTTTGTAATTCTCTATACAATCCTGCACAGGTTGATTACTTGTTAGAAAATTTCATCTTTATTCTGACTATAGATAAAAACTAGCATTGATAGATATATTCTTAGTGAAGGAATGTCTAGAAAAAGAACAGAATCATTAAAGCTAGGCTTTGTTTTCATTTCTCTTGCTGGTGTTAGAATGTGCATTCTAGAAATTCCCAAAGGAGGCTCATATTTCAGTGATTCACATTCATTCACTTCAATATTATGAAATTTGCTTCATTACAATATTATGATGATACTACAGACATTTGTATAATAAGGTGCATTGAGTGCATTAGCAAGTTGGAAATAGTATACGATTAAGAAAACCGTAGCCAAGTTGATAGCTGTTTACACTAAAAATGTACTCCAGTAAGCTAAATCAATCTGTATTAACTTAACTTTGGCTCTTGCTGGTAGAAATAAGTTTGTACAGTAACACAATGCTTTCTGTGATTGATGTTGACTAAGAAGGAGAGAAGTTAGACAAAACTCTTAGGAGCTTTCTATTATCATAGTAATCGAGTTACTTGTCCAGCAAATTCTGGTCTACAAAATAACAGGTTATCTTTTATTACTAAACACAGTCAATTTTTCTATTGACTCTCTTCTTATATTATCTGGTGGAAAATTTTAAGCTATAGAGAGAGCTGAAACACCTTCAGAAGTTCACCAAAGCCCTTTTAATTAAGCTTGGACACTGCAACCAGGGGTACGATGCATAATTATTTCTAGTTTGTGTTAGCTGAATCAAATTTTTTACTTAGTAAGAGAGACAAATTTAGGACTGAATAATTATTTAGCTTTCATAGGTTAGCAACATACATTTGAATTACTCAGATTTACTGTATCCAAGTTAACTTCTTAAGATCTTATTTTGCTTTGTGCTGCATTGACATGACCAAAGCATTTAGAATTTAAATCAAGTTTCCAAGGCAGGGTTAAATGCAAAACCTATAATGATTTTTTAATAGGAGCGAGGGTTATTGTGAAAGGTCACAAACTAATTATCGGGAACTGCCTACCTAAGTACACTCATTATACGGGCACTACACCCATCAGAAGATGTATTTGTTTATGTAAACTTGCTGACCATAGTCTAGGACACATCTATTCAAATGATGCAAGGTACTTTCTTATTTGAGAAATGAACACAGCAAGCAGTTGATCTTGGTCCTGGAATTTGTGAAGAAAGCCTGGAAATAGGATTTGAAGTGTATCACCAAGGTAAATGAATCAACTTGGAAACATTCTGCAGATGTCGAAAGAAAGTCTATTATATGAAACAGCAATCTTCATATTTGGCAAAAATAAATTCAAGTGAAAGGCACCTTAGTGAACAGATAATTTGCTACACAGTGTCAGGTTTTCCCTCTTTCCCTGTACCATCCAAGCACTGTGCATAATCTCTTTTATGTCAGAATGTCTGATTCACAGGATGTTCATAAATCAAAACCGTAGTCCCATCCAGTAAACCTTTTTCTCTCTGGGCATAAAGCCATATTCCCTACAGATTTCAAAGCATATATTTCTACAATTATAGAGTTACATCTTTTTCTTTAGCAATATGTCTACTAAATTATATTCATGATACAATAGCGTTGAAGTAGGAGGCAAAACTCAACTCTGGAGGTGGGGCTTGGACAGTGGAACAAATTGAGGACTAGCTAAAAAGAGTCCAGGGCAGAAGCACCACCCCATAAGACATGCCCACCAGGGCCATAAACTGCCCATTAATTGGTATACAAGTAAAAGTGGGTATGAATGTGAGTGCAGACTGTGTCTGAGCTGCTACTCTGGGCACACTGCCCATAGGGTAGCCTTGATCCACAAGGAGCAGTACCTCTGCTGCTGCTGTACACTGTTGCTTCAATAAAAGTTGCTGTTTAACACCAAGGGCTTGCCCTTGAATTCTTTCCAAGGGCAAAGCCAAGGACCTTCCTGAGCTAAGGACCTTCCTGGGCTGAGCCTCAATTTTGAGGCTTACCTGTCCTGCATCACTTTTAAGCTAAAACTTCAGAAGAGTGGACTCCTCATCCAGGATCCCTGTATCAAGTCCTTCTCAAATTGGTTCAAGACTCTCTTGCTAAAGAATAGCAATTTATCATTTAACTGCTTCAAAAACTGTGGTAATGGCCTGGCATGGTGGCTCATGCCTGTAATGCAAGCACTTTGGGAGGCGGAGGTGGGCAGATCACTTGAGGCCAGGAGTTCAAGACCAGCTTGGCCAACATGGCGAAACCCTGTCTCTACTAAAAACACAAAAATTAGTGGAGCGTGGTGGCACATGCCTGTAGTTCCAGCTACTCAGGAGGCTGAGGATTGCTTGAATCCAAGAGATAGAGGTTGCAGTGAGCAGGATTGGGGAACTGCACTCCAGCCTGCGCAACAGAGCGAGACTCTGTCTCAAACAAAACAAAACAAAGCAAAACAAAAAACTGTGGTAATTTAACATTTTACTTTTCACTAAAGTGCAAAATAAGACTGTTAGTGACTTGATTTAAAACAGCACATAACAAGATGTTTTCAGAGATAGCTTGCTTCTGGTTTTTAGGGCTGGATATTTGTATGTTCCTGTAAGGGCTCAATAGTCTTGGAAATGTCACTTCTTAGATTATACAAAGAGTGTCATTCCAAATCTCCATTTACTTTAGGGTTTGCAGATTGTTTAGAAGTTAGGAAGTTGATATGAATGTTAATAATTCTTAATATTAGTTAAATAAAGTTAAAACTTCAAGTGATATTTGCTGTTTGTAGTTTGGAAAAACTTTTTTTGTGTGTGTTTCATTTGCTTTTAATAGCATTACTGAGGTATAATTGACATACAAGAAACTTCATATATTAAGTGTGCAATGTGATGTTTTAGCTTATTTATATACCTATGAAACCATTACCACAATCATAATAGCGAACATACCTGTGACACTCCAAAATTTCCTTATGCCACTTTGTAATTCCTCCTCTCTTCCCTCTTTCCCATATCCCCGAGAAATCACTGATCTGTTTTCTGTGACTGTGTATTAGTTGGTATGTCTTCAGATTTAAGATACAGGGATTTAGCTAGTATGAACTATTTTTGTCTGGCTTCTTTCAGGCAACATAGTTATTTTGGATTCACCTATGTTGTGTGTCTCAATGAGTCATACTCCATGATATGGAATTGTACTCCATGATATGGACACACTACATTTTGTTGTCTTTTTTGGGTTGTTTTCAGCTTGGGCTATTATAATAAAGCTGCTATTAACATTCTTAGATAAATCTTAGTGTGGGAATGTACTTTCATTTCTCTAGGGTAAATATTTAGATATAGAATGGTGAGGTCCTATGGTTTATGTTTAATTTTTCAAAAGCTGCCAACTTGTTTTCCAAAGGGATTGCACCATTTTACATTCTTACTAGTAGTGGAGGAGAATTGCAGTTGCTCCATTATCTTTGCCAACATTTGATGTGGTCGGTCTTTTTAGTTTTAGCCATTCTAGGAGTTGTGTAGTGGTAACTCACTGTGGTTTTAATTTGCATTTCCCTAATGACTAAAGATGTTGGACATCTTTTCATATGCTTATCTGCCATTCATCCACCTTCTTTGCTGAAATGTCTGTTCAAATATTCTGACTATTTTGAAGTAATTATATGGCTTGGGTTTTATTTCCTGTCAAGCTTTGAGGGTTTAAAAAATATAGTCTTTATATTTTCTCTAAGTATGTGGCATTCCTTTTTTTCCCTCTTGGCAGTGGATTTTTAATAACACAAGTTTTAAAATTTGACAAAGCCAATTATCTTAGTCTACTGGGGCTGCTATAACAAAATATCATAGGTTGGGTAGCTTATAAACAACATGGCTGTATTTGTGACAGTTCTGGAGGCTGGAAAGTCCAAGAACAAGGCACCAGAAGATTGGATGTCTGGTGAGAGCCTATCTTCAGGTTCATAGATGGTGCTGTCTTGCTGTGTTCTTACATGGTGGAAGGAGCAAGCTAGATGTCTAGGTCCTCTTTCATAAGGGCACTGATCCCAGTCATGAGGGCTCTGCCATTATGATCTAATCACCCCTCAAAGGCCCTATTTCCTAATATCATTACCTTGGAGGTCAAAATCCCAATATATGAATTTTGGGAGGACACACACATTTAGATCACAGCACCGATTTATTGATTTTTAAAGATTTTTTAATTGTGTTTCTGGTGGTTTAGCACCTTTGAGCTTCTCAGTGATGTCCTTGGTCCAGTGCCACACAGGACTTACAGAGAATAGACATTGAGAATAGGTATACTTAAGACATGAGGACATTAAGCATCTCTACTTTGGTCTCTAGGCACAAAGCCAAAAAGGAAGAGATGCATCCTCCCCTTTCAGGAGGAAGTACACCATGGCTTTGGCACAATGTAGCTTCCAGAGATTTCTCACATTTAGCATCATGACAACTCAGCATCATGAGGCATGGCTACTGCAGATGTAGGGTCTCTGTGGCTGCTTCTTTTCAGGTAGTGGAAGCAGAATAGATTTGCTCCTGAGGACTCCCAGGTAGAAGCAGAGAGATTTCAAGAGAATCTGGGGATCCCAAAATTGTGACTGAGGGGACAAAGTCAGAAGAAATACGAGTTGTTACTACGAATGTGCCTTAATTCTATTCTCTAGGTGGGTATTATATGGTTAAATATGGGCAACACATTCTGATTAGGTTAATTTGAAATATTATATTTTAAATCCAATTTAATGAGGTATGAGAAAGAAAAAAAGATGGTAAAATCAACTGCTCATCAACATGTCTTTATTTTTAAAAAGCCTCTTGTTTTGCACAAAAATTATTTCCTTGCTGTTTAACTGTTTTCAGATGATGAAAACTTTGCTTTGACTTCTAACTGCAAATTAATTCCAAAGCTCTTACAGGTCTGTAAATGGTAAAGAATGCAGAGGACCAGATTAAAAAAAAATTGTCTACCTTTAAGTTCATGTTGGTGTATAATGGATTATCTTTCTATTGCTATGCTTTCCTCATTTGTTTTTGAGAAATAAAACACAGTCACTGACATGAAAATGTTAAACTAAAGAGATTTTATGTCAGAGTATACTATCGGGGGTGATAAGCTGTAAATGCTACTACCCACTTATTTGTGAATGGGTAATTATCGTAAACATCGATGGTGATGCTCCAAACATGTGCCACCTGGATCAAGCATTGCTTTCGTGATAAATACAGAAGTTGGCTTCACAAATCTTCATTCTGGTGACTCTCACAGTGGCCTTTAGTGCCTACAGCCCGTCAGAGTAACTAAAGGGGAAGATGGCTGCATAGAGCCTCAGGGTTGGCTAAGGAGGACACAACCTCCAGGTATCATGACCCCCCTAAAAGAAAAAATTTTATGTTGTTAGAAAACATGAATATTTCTCAAATGGATATAGTATCATATGAGAATAATAATAATACAAGTATTAAAGTAATGTCTTCTTAGAAACTTTGGGCACTATTTTCCCCAGGGGACTTCATTGATTACTCTGATATTAACAGCCATTTCCTCAAAACAGGTTTATTTTTTATTTTCATTATCTTTCTAACAGTCTTTAGATTTTTAAACTTTTCACTGGCAGCTTAAACTTAATTTTCACTGTTGAAAATGAAAGATATTATCTTTCCTTCTAAGCTATTACATATCCCCCCTCCCCGTCTTCTTACCTCTCCTACTCTTGACAATACACTTTTTTGCTTATACCATGGAAGAGAGGCAGAAGAGGCCCAGTCTAGAATAGAGAGCATATGAAGATTCTGGCAGGTAGAAAAGGACCTAGGAAAGTATTTAGGATTTAGCAACTTGTTTGTTTGTTGTTTACATTTCAACATGTTGATTTTCCTAGAAACTACATTTAGGAAAATCAACATGTTGAAATATAAACAACAACAGCAACAACACCCTTTTAGCCCCTCCTTGCCTGATTGTAGGTTATACCAAACTATGAGACTACTGTTCTTCTCAGGAAAGGATTATTAAGAATTATGATGTGTCTAAGATTTCACCCTAATTGCAAGCTAACAAGTGAGCCTGCTACAGTTTAATGGAGGCTGGCAGAAGACATTGGAATTCTGGGGCATAGGGTGGCACAAATACTCACAGCACAGCAAGCTGTGTGAGCCATCAGCAGACTTGGGTTTGTTCCCTTTGCCCCCAAGTTCCACAGAGGTGACAGATAGGCCCAGGTAGATTCCTTCACAGGCAGTGGGTTGAGTTATAGGAGAGGAATGCTGAGCTTAGGGAACTTGAATCTTTTTTTGTTTTTTTGAGACAGGGTCTTATACTGTCACCCAGGCTGGAGTGCAGTGGTGTGGTCTCGGCTCACTACAACCTCTGCCTCCTGGGTTCAAGTGATTCTCTTGCCTCAGCCTCCCAAGTAGCTGGGATTACAGGTACCTGCCACCACGCCTGGCTAATTTTTGCACTTTTATTTCTTTTAGTAGAGATGGGTTTCGCCACATTGACCAGGCTGAACTTGAACTCCTGACCTCAAGTGATCTGCCTGCCTCGGCCTCCCAGAGTACTGGGATTATAGGTGTGAGCCACCGCACGTGACCGGGAACTGGAATCTTTTATAACAGATAACATGTGTGCCTGCTTTTGCTCTGGATAGAGACATTATAACTTTCAAGTTTTGTATAACTTTACAAAAATCACTGAAAACATAGTTCAATATAAATGCTGTTAAGTGCCTTGTTTTGCGAGAGGAGTGGAAACAGGAGAGACTCATGGGGAATTGTCTCCGAACGAGGTTAAAAAGACCTATCTCCTTTCCAAAGCCAGTTGGTCAGAATTTATGTCTTTCTGAAAGCAAATAGAAGACCAATACTCAGTGGTGTGCTGACAAATGTTTAACACCTGGTTCTCTGTAAAACGGAAAAGAAAAAAAAACTCTGATTTGCAGCACTGGCTGATTTCTATAGTGTAAATACTTCATCATAGCTGATTCCAAGCCACCAATAAAACATCACTGAACTTGGAGTTGGGGAGAGAGTCACAGTAATACACCATTATATAGTATTTCTGCCATATACATATAATAGACATAAATAATCTAAAGAGAATAGATAATACTATAATTTAATAAAATAAGTAGGAATCGATGAGTTAAGACTATTTATTGGCTTTCAATTATTCCTCCTGTTTGGTTAATGGAGCTCCATTGGCCTCATTCTTCAAAACCAAGTCCCTTCTGTAGCGATGTTCTTTTTGCTCTACTACCTCATTTAAAACTCCTTTCTCTTATTTAAGGCTAATATAATATTTTATAACCTATTTATTCCTCAACACAATCTGGTTAACGTAAATAAATATGATCTACTATGTCCAACTTAGATTATGTTAGAAATAACAGAAGATAGATAATTTCGGGCATTCTCTTTCCATTGATTGTCTTCAGTAGTATGAGTGAGTGTGAATAGAAAACATTTGACTTTTTCTGAGAATTTGATATAATCTTTCCAGATTTTTTGAGGATTATATAGAACTACCTCTGTATAGTCTGTCGCAAATCCTTAGGATATTTCATGGGCTTCAAGCTTCCAACCAAAAACAGTGCCAATTTTCCTAATGGTTGCTAATTCAGATTCAAATACAACAAACACTTATGAATACCTATAATGTGCCACATATGAGGCTAACCAAATGATTTCACATATGTATCTTGTTTAATCCTTAAACAAAGCTATAAAGTGGGTACTAATTCCATTTTACAGACGGGGAAACTGAGGTTAGTCTTGAGTTCTTTATATTTTGGGAAGCAAATGTGATTATTATGTGTCCCTACCATGATCAGTATATAGACATTAATTATCAAACACTCACAGCATTTCTTAGTAGAGAACCCTTGACTTAGGTAAATGAGGTTGTTCTAACGGCTCCAAGAAAGGAATTCTGTGTGAGTTGGTTCTACATTTACACTATAACAATAATTTAGAATGACACTGTGGGCCACACATCACTAAAAGTATACAAGAAAATTTCAAATGAAAGTAATTAAATAATGTGTTCATCACATAAGAAGCTGTAACTCAATTTCAGGAAAAGTCACTATCAGTATCATCATTAAAAATAGTGCCTGGATCTACGTAAGTGCACCGATGAATTTTTTTCAGGTGATTTAAACTCAGACTGTATGAAAAAAAAATCAAGCTTTTTGTAGGTGGTTATTTCATCCTGACAGAATATCTTCTCTCTCAAGAAAGAGTAAAAGGCCATAAGAAAATCAGTAAAGACTAAGTTAAGTATAGCTGCAGTGAGTTGTTCAAGATAAAATAATAGACTGACAACTTTATTTGATAATACTAAAATAGGTGGGAAAATGAGAATTATTCACATAATTTGGTTCGTTGTGCTACTATCACCTACCTTATCAAGCAGAAAATAAATTGCTCTCTGTCCACAATTAATAAAAATGCTACAGCTGCATGGTAGGAGTCTGGACATAGATTAGCAAGGTTATGTTTAATTTGTGGGCATATGGATATCATCATTTCAGTGGATATCTTTCACATCCATTTATATCCATCATTTCTGTGGATGTATTTTTAATGATAGATATCATCTGTCATCTAAAAGACTGTATAATGCAATAGAAAATTTGGTATATATGATTATTATTAATTATATTAATTAAAATTAATTAAAATTTATTTAAATGTGTCAGACATAATGCTAAATAGATTCAATGCATTTTGTTATTATAATTTGAGTTCATATAATCATTGTTTTATATATATTATATATATTTTTATATATATATATATATATATATGAAGTTTATTGAGTGTCCATATCAGAGATATTTTGACCTCGTATTGATATGGACTCTTTGAGAATTTGTTTAAAGCTATAGACCTGCTTAAGGAAAGATGCAAATATGTACATGAACATAAATGTTTGCATATAATATTAGGGGAACCATGAAATCCCTGATGCCCATCCCTGAATTTCGACCTTACGAATCCTTATTCTGCATGTCTTAGAACAGTGCTTATAGAATGTAATTGCAATCACATTTTTGTTTCCAAACCCTACTTATTTTAATTAATATTTGGCAGCTTAGAAGTTAAAGGATAGAATTTTGATAAATATGTTAATAATATTGTATGAAGAATGTATTCTTATCCTGAGGAAACAACTGGAAGATACAATATATGCCAAGAGTGTCAAATGAAGAAGTTTATAGTAAGGTAGAACTGGAAACGATTTAAATGTCAGGAGTGTAGGATAAACAGATCATGCTATAACAAATGTCATGAAGCCATTTGAATTGGAGATGCACATTAATATTTAATGTCTATAGCATATCACTGTGTCAAAAAGCAGGCTTCTAAGCAGCATATGTACTATGTTTTGAAGTATATATATATATACACACTTTATATATATATTTATATATATATATGAAGTATTTAAAATATATATATATATATTTTTTTCCATAGGTATGTGGAAAAAGTCTAGGACAGTCCTTAGTTTTGTTCTTAAAATATTCAAGCTTGCTTGAGTAAAGAGATCTCATTGATGGGCTACGTAAGAAATTGTAAGAGAAATCTCCTGGGAATCCAGGAGTTGAAGCCATTATACAGCTGATGTCATGAAGTCTGGAGCTAGAGGAAGTTCTGGCTTTAAGGAGGCTCCAGGGGATCAGAATTTGGAGGCTTCCCTCTAATACTGCCGTTTAATGTGGCTCAGTCACACAGTGACTGTGACTCCCAGCTTCTTTCTGTTCCATTTTCAACTGGCGTGTGCATAATGCCTGCTTCTTGTAAATTTAACTTGCCTGTAGAACAGTATGGTTTCTTTAATTCATAACCTTTTGGTTTCAGAACTTATTGCTGTTTTTTAGTTTAAATTCTGAAGACAGAAATTATTACTTGGAATCTTATTGATCTGAGTTAGTTGCTGGACAATCAGTTGATTAGTTTTCTACGGAGATGCCTACCTACAGCTGGAGTAATGGGAGAAGGTGTAAGTTTCACATCGTAGAAGCTATGTATGGGTAGGGTAATTTCATTTAGAAAAGACCTAGGTAGGTCGGCAGTATAAAGAAGGCCTAATGAGAAGGATTATGTACCAGAAAATTAATAGTGGCTATCTCCAGATAGTAGAATCATACAGCAAGTCCTCACTTAACAATGTGGGTAGGTTCTTGGAAACCATGACTTAAATACAACAAGATATAACAAAACCACTTTTACCATAGACTGATATAAACAAAAATTAAGTCCCTATGGCATATCACTGGTCATGAAACATCACCAAACTTCTAAATAAACACCCAAAACACTTCTACTAGGTACTGAAATAAATGTCAGCTATATATATATTGAAGAAAAATTAATAAAAACACAGTAATGATTTACCCAATTTTTGGTGAATGAGTGAGTGATGACAATTGTTGTGGTGGTGGCTTAAATTAAGGAATAAATGCTTAATTGTAATTGTAAGTGAAATTTGTAAGGAGCAAAAATTGTAAGGAGCACCTCTTCCTACCATGAAGTTCAAAAACAATCACAAATATGGTGGTTTGATGAATGCTTTCCTACTGCCTCATTCATTGTCCTGCATTTGTATGGTTATCATAAACTTGACTGATTTTTATCTTACAACAATTTGTATCCATTCATTCATTTCCCAACCTGCTTATTCCAGTTCAGAATTGCTGGTGACTGGAGCCTATGTTGGCAGCTCAGGGTGCAGGGCACGAACCTGTGCTGGACAGGATACCATCCCATTACAGGGCGCACTGACACATAAACACACACACACACACTCACTCATATGAGGACAATTAAGACACACCTAATGTGCACATCTTTGGGATGTGGGAGGAAATCAGAGGACCTGGAGGAAACCCACACAGGCATGGGGGAGAGCATGCAAACTCCACACAAACAGTGGCCCCCACATCTGATTCCTTTTTTCATGAATATTATAACTAAACAAAATTATTTGGGTAGCTGCTGTAAATGATTTTTTTTTGAAAATATGTATTTTGCGTGTTTCTCTACTTTCAAATTTGCCTATAGTGATTGTGCATGATTTGAGAAACAGAGAAATAATATCACTACAATGTGGTTTGTACTTTTTCCTCTGTAATTTGTAGTTTTGTTCTAATTCTATTTGGTAGAAAAATTTCAAATTCTAGCAATATAGTGTTGCTTTAGAAAAGAAGATATATACTGGCAAAAAAAAAAAAAAAAAGGAAAACAAGCGTTTGTATTTCAACCAATCTGAGCCAGTACTGGGTACCATTTTTAGTTGCTTAGCTTTATTTAGCAAGTGCTGGAGCTGGGGAGATACAGAGATAGATACTCCAAGACAGGGCCTCTGACCTTAAGTTCAGTCCACTAAATATTTACTGAGTATTTTAATATACAACAGATATCCAGAGTGATAATATACAATCACTGCATCCTCAAAGATCTAGGAATACAGTTAATTACAGGAACAGGAAAATAAAATTAATAATGCAAGATAATATATATGAAGGTCAAATGAGTGACCTGAGAGTTCAGAGGAGTGAGAAATCATTTCAAGTTGGAATGAATAAAAAAGACTTCATGGGAGATGTGGAATTTGAATAAGTCTTATTGGATGGGGAATGCTTGAGTAAATGGTATGATAGAGGGCATTATTTTATAGGGGGAATAGCTAACAAAAGGTATATAGATAGGAAGGCACAAGGCACATTTGGGAGACATGCATGAACCTGTTTAGTGGGTTCAAATTGCAGAGTGGTGGTAGATAACACCGGAACGGTGTCTTAGTCCACTTTGCATTGCTACAAAGGAATACCTGAGGCTGAGTAATTGATAAAGAAAAGAGGTTTATTAATACTTGGCTCATAGTTCGGCCCACTGTACATGGCACCAGCATTTGCTTCACTGGTGAGGGCCTCAGGAAGCTTCCACTTATGGCAAAAGGCAAAGGGGAGTCAGCGTCACATGGTTGGAGAGGAGTAAAGTTGGGGGAGGGGATTTCAGGCTTTTAACCCACCAGTATTCCCATGAACTAATAGGGTAAGAATGTGCTCAATCCTGGGAGAGTGACACCAAGCCATTCATGAAGGATCCACCCCCATGACCCAAACACCTCCTACTAGGCCCCACCTCCAATACTGGGGATGAAATTTTAACATAATATTTGGAAGGGGCAAATATCCAAACTATATCAAATGGCAAGTAGAGATGAGATCTGATGGAAAGCATTCCTAATATGCATTCATAAAATGCTTCATAAAACTTTTTTTTTAATGTTTCAGTTTCAACTGTGTGTTAGTCTGTTTTGTGTTGCTGTAATGGAATACCTGAGACTTGATAATTTACAAAGAAAAGAGTTTTATTTGGCTCATGGTTCTGCAGGCTGTACAAGAAGCATGGTGCCAGCATCTTCCTGAGGTCAGGACCTCAGGAGGCTTTTCCTCATTGTGAAAGGTGAACAGGAAGCAGAGCAAGAGAGAGAGAAGGAAGGTCCCAGATACATTTTAACAACCAGAACTTTCATGAACTTAGAGTGGGAGCTCACCCATTACTGTCAGGAGGGCACCAAGACATTCATGATCGATCTGTCCACGTGACCCAAACACCTCCCACTAGTCCCTACCTCCAACACTGGCAATCACAGTTCAACATGAGATTTGTAGGGGACACAGAGCCAAACCATCTCACGATGTAAGCTTTCTTGGGCTGAAAAGCTAGGCTGTGTGTGATAAGGAGATAGTAATCTGTTGTGTTATACTTGCCTCTCACTTCTCACTCACCCATGAACCCCATTTTAAGAGGTACTTAGAATCCTCTGTAATGAATGAGAGCCAAAAGACCCTCTTCACATCACACTGGCTTTCTTATGTTGTCCTGGGATTTTGATCTAGAACTTTGAATCTGGCTTTGCCACTCCGGCTATTTTCCACGCTGTTTACTACTCTCTTCACTTTGATGGATGCCTTAATTCAGGTTATCGGTCTTGGCCTAGGGCATTATACACCATGATTCTAATTTTTGATTCTCAATTCCAAGGTCTTCCTTAGATCCCAATCTATAGTACTCAGTTAGGATCCCTAATGTAGAGAAATTTGGCATAGAAAGGAGTCTTCTTTGTTTTATCTCTGAAAATTTATTGGATGAAGTACAAAAAGTGGTTTGTATGTGTTTAAATAAATTAGCTCTTGGGAAGGCAATTTTGTAGCATAGTCCCCAAGGACAATGTTATACTGATGGTAATTTCATACACTGGTTTATAAATTTGATGTACATTGTATCATGGTAGCAATTAAACCCCCAAGTCTCTTTTACAAATGTTTTAAAATGCTTTTCCTATTCCACCTACTCTCCTTGCTTGTCCTTCGCAAATCCTACCATCTGCAAAAGACAAAATAATTATCTTTATAAAGTAGCATACTTGAGCTGTGTTCATAAAATGCTCAATTATTCTGATAGATGGTCACTGGATATGAGTGAGATAGTGGGAGAGGCCCATTAATGAATGTCATTGGTCAGTTTCCACCTCACTTGGCCCCACTCAGCTGCAGATACAGAAGCTCTTCCCTGCAGCAGGCTTCTCTCCTACCCAACTCCAAACTCATGCCGCCCAAGGCAGCAGTCTGTCAGTGGGCTCAGATGTAGCTAGTGATGGTCTGGAATAAGTTCACATTGAGTATCCCTAAGCATCTTCCCAATTCTCCCATATCATGTTTGCCCAAGTCTTATGACAGCATTCTGTGCATGATTTCCTTTTCTGTACTCTAGTTTTACCTTCAGGATGAATGTTATGCTTCTAACCCCAGCCCTTTTGGTTAGACCTTATACTCTTCCCACATCTTGTCAACAATTTCATGTGAATTCTCCCTAGAACACTCTTAAGAGCAAAAGGACAGCTCAGAACCGCAAAATTGACACGGCTCTGGTTCTTAGGAGGGCCGCCTGAGTATCCTTATTAGAGTAATTGACCCAGAGTTTGTCACCTCTCTTTGCAGTGTTTGAAGTGTTGCTTACTGCTCTATCCTGAAGGTTGTATAAGGAAATATGCATAAGAACACATTTAGTTTAGCAACTACTTATTTAATTCTTAATACGTAGAGGAACAAGCAAGGTAAATGTTTAGGAAGTTAGGTGTGCATTGCCTTCTTTTGGTATGTAACATAACAATTATTGTTTATCCAAAAGAATGTGAGACATCTGTTTTACAATTTATAGCTACACATTTTTTTCTGTACAGTAGCTTTAAAATTTCTAATGACTATATCTTTAAACCTTTATCTTTAAAATTAAAATTGCATTTTCAAATGAGTGCTGAGTTTTTATATAGTAATATGTGACTAGATATCCATTTAACGATGCTATTCTAGAAAATGTTTGATGCTTCATATAATTCGCCTATTGTATTTACTGAGTGCCTACTAAGTGCAAGGAACTGTATGCTCTATGCTGTAAAGCATATAAAATGAATAAAGCATGGTCCTTGCCCTCTAATATGGAGGGATTAAGACATTACACATAGACATAGAGCATGGTAGGCAATATAATCTTTAAAGGACAACAAAGTTGTTTGATTAATATTGGCATGATCTTAGCTCTTGGCCATGATGCAAATTATGCCTGGCTTAATTGTCTCCATCAGTTTGAAGGAGCAGACGCTGAGGTGTATAGACAGATGCAGAGATTCCCTTGGGGGCACTTAATCTGTGCCTTCTTATGGAGATGGGGGATGCCCACTGATTTCAATTGACATTACTTTCATTAAGAACAGTGTGGCAGGCCTTTTCTCAAACTGTATTCAGCTATGTACAACCTGTGTCTGAACATTCTTCAGCAGCTACAAAGATAGCCTAGTGGATGACAAAATGCATATCTTCATGTCAAGCTAATTTGGGGAACATTTCATCACTTAGCTTCACAATGTGAAGAACATTAGTAATTCAGTGGCGTATGAATTTCCATCCATTCCCTTTGTGAAGATGTTTACACTGCATAAAAATGGTGGCGGGCTGGAGGGTTGGGAAGAGCAGGGTCCTGGAGTGGGGTCATGTTTTTGTGTCGCTTTGACACCCTGTCCCCATGGTTCCTTTCCTTCCAGAATGTCGGTGGCTGCAGCGACAGTGGAGCGAATACCTGGCTGAAGGTGGGGTGGCGGTTTATTAGCACCTATGCTCCTCGCTGGTGATGTCCTTCATGCTAACTCTGTCTGGGTTATTCAGGAATCTTTTTTTAAAAAGTTTCTTTTCTATACTTTTGGATTTATTCAGAATAAGGTTTGGTGTGAAACTGTTTCTTCTGGGTTGGAACAAAGAATTTTTTAAATGCAGATTTTGTGAGGGAAGAAGATTCCAGACATTAGATCTCTCGGGAACTGCCCATCTGTGAAAAAATTATATTCCTGTTGGACTAGAGTGTTGGCAATTGCAAAATGGACTGCTACTGCGAGCCATTTATTCTGTCTCACTGGACAGAGTAAATTGTTTCCTAATTGGAGTTATGTCATGACATGAACTGTAAAATATGGTAGCAATAACTTAGTCTCAGCTTAAAGAAATGACAGAAAATCATCTGCTTTCACAGAAAGCATTTCTTTTTCAACTAGAATGTGAGATAATGTTAAAAAAAGTAAAACTTTTCTGCAACACTATTTTACACATTAATTTACAATACATTTTTTGCAATATTTTAAAAGAACTAATTAAAACCTATTTTCTGTATGTGCTCAAAAATAAATAACATCATTTTAAATAAGTAAATCGGTTTTTTGAACATAATCTCATTGATCATTTTATGTCCTATAGATCATAGACATAATTGCTGGCTTTAGGATGAAATCTGTGGTATAGAAAACTTGACTGCCAGATATTAAGACATATGTATGTATGTAACAAATACGCACACACACACTCATACACACACATACACATATGCACACACACACTATGTCTGTATTAAAAACATCCATTAACAAATTATGGTATTTAGTATATGACAATTGTGGAATTTAAGAAGTAATAGACAAAAGGATTATTCTAAATGATGTCAAGATAATTGGCTATCTAATTAGATCTCTATACTGCATCTTTCACAAACACACACTCCAAATTGATTTAAGACCTGGACATTAAAAACAAAAAAAAAACCCAAACTACAAAAGTGCTAGAAGAAAAGGAATGAAACGTATTTTAATAATTTGGGATGACGAAGGACTTTCTCAGCATGATAGAAAACCTAGAAATCATAGAAGAAAATATCAATATATTATAACTTTATATTATCTTTTATTTGAAAAGGTAATAGAAAGTTAAAAGATAAGTGAGAGATTGGGAAAAAATATATGCAACATATTTAAAGGCAAAGATTAATGTTTAGAATATTTTACTAATAATCTACTAAGAAGAATAAAAAAGACAATTAGCCACATTAAAAAAATGACAAAGAATATAAACAAGAAATTTATGGAAGAGCAGATATAAATCTCCAATAAGCTTAAAAAAGGATTCATCGGCTGAGTGCGGTGGCTTACACCAGTAATCCCAGCACTTTGGGAGGCCGAGGTGGGTGGATCACTTGAGGTCAGAACTTTGATTCGAGCCTGGCCAACATGGTGAAACTCTGTCTCTACTAAAAATACAAAAAAAAAAAAAAAAAAAAAAATTAGTGGGGGTAGTGGCACACATCTGTAACCTTGGCTACTCAGGAGGCTGAGGCAGGAGAATTGCTTGAATCTGGGAGGTGGAGGTTGCAGTTAGCAGAGATTGTACCACTGCACTCTAGCCTGGGCGACAGAGCAGTACTCTGAAAAAAAAAAAAAAAAAAAAAAAAAAAGGATTCCTTTATAAAGGGAGAATTAAACAGTAACAAGATACTATATTCCCCACCCAACTGGCAACATTTCAATTGATTAATAACATCCACACTTGGTGAGGAAAAGTGGACATTCTCATGTTGTATTGATGAGAGTAAATACAGGTATAGCTTTTCCATACTAAAAGCTCTATCTGTCAATTGACATCATCTATCAAAATTAAAAATATGCATGACCTTTGACCCAGCAGTTTCACAAGGAATCCTACTTCTAGAGTTCTATCCGACAGAAATGTTAGCTTAATTATATAAAAAAAGTCACAAGATACTAATTGCAGTGTTGTTAACTAGTCAAAAATTGGAGAAAAACTCTCAATCTTTGGGAAAATGTTTGAATCAATTACAGAATATTCATCAAAGGAAATTCAGGTAGCAGTTAAGAAGGAAGAAGCAGATTCACATGTACTGACTTGGAAAACTATTCATTGTAAGTAAAAGAAAAAGCACACTGCAAAACCATATTCATAGCCTGATTCTATTTTCATTTTGGAAAAGAATAACAACAAAAATATGTGTTCCTATAAACACAGAATAAAGTCTGGAAGAATATAAAACAATCTCTTGATGGTGGCTACAGGGATGGGGGCTGAAGTGTCAGGAGAGAAAGGAAGGAGGAGTTTCCCTTTTCATTTCATATACAAAAAAAGTGAGATTATGAGTGATTTTGGCTTTTTTGCTTTTGTATATTTAACATCATTTTTTTCATTGTAGACACACATTTCTTCTGTATTCAAAAAACAAATGTAACCTTGAAAAGATAATTCTTGAAGGATGGATTAAAAAGATGAGTGACTGGAGACAGGAAAACAATTTAGGAGACTTTAAAAGACCCTGGGGAGGGCTGTGAGGGGTGGACCCAGGGCAGAGATGAAGGGATTGTGAAGTGGGGGACTGAGGTGAGACTCTGGAAGGTGAAGCTTAAGAGGAGAGACCAGCTCTGACACACAGATGATGACTAATCTGGGGTTGGAGCCTCAACTCCTAGTCCAGTGCTTTCTCAGTATCTCCCAAAAGGCCTCATGTAAGAGGTACCATCAGCCCATCACACAGCTCCACACAGACTCTTGGGGCCTGGGACTTGGGTGTGGATGCACACAGAGCACACTCGAAGCAGATAACAAAACCTATGTTAGCTAGTTCCTGTATAGGCAGCAATTTCAGTTCTCATTTCCCACTTACATGTTGTCACATGAGACCAGGTAAAAGCAACATCATCTTTTCCAAGGGTCCCTTGGGCTGTTCTGTGTTGCATGGTGACCTGAAGCTTATAGCACCATTGCATCAGCCTTCTCAGGGACAAGCAAGCATCTCTCTGACTGACTCCATAGGAACCCAGAATTCCTTCCTGCACTCCACTTGAAGCCTGACTATAGTATGTAGTCTGCACAACCCATGCTCAAACCTTTT
The DNA here is from genome assembly GCF_000001405.40 of Homo sapiens. Classification (NCBI taxonomy): domain Eukaryota; kingdom Metazoa; phylum Chordata; class Mammalia; order Primates; family Hominidae; genus Homo; species Homo sapiens. The sequence goes on from NC_000013.11 coordinate 77,415,886, forward strand.
GGTTCCTGTTTACAAAGATCTGCTCATAAGCATGAGGCAATCCACACAGGGTCTGCTCTGAAGCCAGCTTCATCATTGCTGTAAACAGTTATTGGGAAAATTTTTGATTGTGGCCAAGCCATGTCTCACCCTTGAGCTCCTTCCAGACCCCTGGGCACACCAGCTAATGTGCATAACCAACAGCTCAACATAGGGTAGGCAGTGTCACACAAAGGATATTAATTTCATGTGGGATACCTCTCTCTGGGGCATGCTGACTTTTTATTTGTTTATACAGAAACAATTGTTAAAACATCTGCTACAATACTGTGAAATCTTTTTGAAAATTGGACCTTTTGCTCGAGCAGCACAGCTGAGAAAGCTCGTGTTTATCAAAGTAGAGATAAATTGTATGTTGACAAAATGAATTCAGTGGAGTATCTGTTATAACATTTCATGAGAGCAAGTACAATGTCAACCAAAGCTTTCCTGCATTAAATAGGAAATACCTTTGTCTGTTTGAAGCTTTAAAGCTCATTAGTATGCTATTACCTTGACTTTTTAAAATTGTATGACTCTATCATATAGAATGCTCCATATAAACTTTTGTGGAAAACAATTTTAAATACAATTCAAAATATATCTGAGGGCTGACCTGGTATGGTAGAGAAGATATGTTCAAAATGTCATTACTTTTTCTCCTTCGGTAGAAGATTGAACAACTTTTCTGATTTTAAAGTTATTACATGCTCACATCAGCATCCCTAAGGAGCTGATATTGACCTATGAACATGCAAAAGCAATAGTCCTGCTGTTTTGCTTCTATAATGCAACAGAAAAACATTTGGCTTATACAATTAAGATAATCTGATTGCATCACAGACCTGTCTTTTTTGAGTTTAAGTGATTTCTGTCTCGTGTTGTATGGAAGAAAATATAATTTTTCCCATCTTTTAGTATCAGAAAATTTGCAGATCTTGTTGCTGAATGGCTTATCTTTAGAAGAAATTTTGAAATTGCAACATGAGTACCAGTTTTCACATGTGATAATTGATATGATTTACTGGTAGCTTTTTTAAGCAGAAGCATGTGTCTGGTGGGAAGTGAAAATTCAATCTGTTTGTGGTTTGCCCTCCTTGATATCAATCACGGATTTTAACTGATTTGCCTAGTTGCTTAGGCATCTTGTAGAGAAATTTTAGAATGAAGAAACTCCAGTGTATTAAATTCAATCTGTTACCTTGCTGATCAAGACACTTGCTTTTGCTGGGCTCAATTTGCTCCATTTCTCTCTCTCTCTCACGCACGCGCACGCACACACACACACAATCAGAATGAAATAACAGCAGAGACATTTTAATCTGCTTTAGAGAAAAATAAAAAGTGTAGTATTGTTTAATCTATTTTAGAGAAACATAAAAATATAGTATTACTAGGACTCTGTCTTTTCTGTTTAAGTAATATGCTACGCCAATATTGTGATGCCTAGCTGGTAGCTTGAGATCTGACCTCACAATGACAATGCTTTATTGCTCCCTTCATGCAGATGCCTGGTAACCAGGAGTCCTAGTTTAGCTCTTCAACACTCTTAGAAAATAATCTTTAGTTTCAGTGTATTTGAAAGCCTATTGATCTGCCACTAGTTAGACCCATAGACTAGCCACACCAGGTTTCTTACCCAAATTTTAACCCTGAAGATCCTACTACTTAATCATTTTCAAAAACTCCATTTAGAAGAACAAAATGAATACATTTTACTATTTAATATTTAAAACCTGGCCTAAAGGAATAATATTAACGTATATGAATATCTAATATTCATAGCTATGTATGCTATAGCTTTACCATTGGGGCAAGCCAGACCATGAAAGAACTGTACCCCACATTATATACATTTGCTTTCTGCTTCACATTTGGGTGTTATGACATCAGCTGCCCTCCCAGACCCACCGTTCTAGGGTACAGCAGAACTCAAAGTGTTTGTCAACTTGGACTTCCGCCTGTCCACTAGCTTGCCTTAAGCAGATTCTGAGGAGCTGCACTCAAGATTGATCCCCTATGTTCTTTTGGTCTCATATTCTCTAGCCTTTCTTGTAACAGGCATACCAGGTCAAATGAGGGACATCTGTCCATTTGCAAACAAGCCAACCTCATCCCTGAGGTCAGTGATGAAGTGCTGAGTAACGAACTGGAAAAGCAAATAAGTAAAGGAGTTAGGAAGGACACTTTCTTATTCGGAGCTCACTAGAGAATGTGATTTTTCCTGAACAACTGCATACTTCCTAGTATGCCTTTTGGTAAACTACCCACGTTTCCCACAATATGTACCTGATATGGAGAGGGAAAAAAGCAAACCATGGCGGTCTAAGCAGCTTAGATTTGATAAAAATAATAAGGTAATTGCATACATTTTGCTTTTGTTTTGTCTCTAAAACCATTGTCTTTCTCATGGGTCAAACTGGGCTAGTGGGCTGAGGATATTTTGTTTTTGAAAGGGTTTTAATAGCATCTCTGACCAAATTTGCTTCACTTAAAATATTCTTTAGTGAAACAAGATTACCTCCTCCCACCTCAATCCCCTACAACCCAGTTTATTAACTATGAGATCTAATGAAATTATTCTCAGCTGGTCCCAGAAAAACAACACACTCTGTTTACCAGCTTTTTTTAATCAACAGGATTAAGACATGTAGCTTCCAATTATGCATACAAAAGGAGAAATGGTGATGTTTTTGCTTTGTCTGAACAGAGTGGTTCCTTCAGTTCATTTTCCAAACCCTTCTGCCAGAACAAGCTGGTTCTTCTGGGAAGACGGAACTGCCTACGGCCATATGCACCCATCTGTTCTTCTCTGCAAAAATGTCTTGGCCTTTTCCACACAGAGCCAGTGGGTGGTGGGGGTGACCACTGCAGGTGGACAGGCCAGGTAAGCCTCGGTCAGGTAAGGGGACATTCGTGGTTAAATGTGCAAGTATAAGAAAACCATTAAAAAAGAAGAGTTTGCTGTAACAAAGTTACTTCTCTGCCCCTGCTGTGGGCCATTAGTTATTTCTCTGCAGAGAAATAACTTTCTTAAAGCAAACTCTGCTTTGTAATGGTTTTCTTATTGGCCCACAGCCCTCTGCTGGCCCTATACTCTGAATCTTCTTATAGAAATGCTCTTCTTGGTCTTTGCTAGACATTGTCAAATAGCTTGTTTATGTGCTGTTTGCATTGCAGCTCTGAGATCACACCTGTATGCAGTTCTATAATTCTTTTGCCAAGGACAACAATTAGCTTCTGGTTTTTTTGTTTGTTTGTTTCCTTGCTTAATTTATATTTCAACAACTCCTGGAAAATACACTTGAATTTGCAACCTCCACAACAGGATCACGCGGGAAGCATATAGGAGCTTGTGGAAGAATGGGTTGAGAGAAGGAAATTGATGTTTCTTTTTTATTTATTTTATTTTAAGGGTAAAATTATTATGAATACTACTGTTTTAAAATATTTTATTTCCATAGGTTTTGGGGGAACAGGTGGTATTTGGTTACATAAGTTCTTTAGCCATGATTTGTGAGACTTTGGTGCACCCGTCACCCAAGCAGTGTACACTGAACCCAATTTGTAGTCTTTATTCCTCACCCCCTCCCACCCTTTCCCCCTGTGTCCCCAAAGTCCATTTTGTCATTCTTATGCATTTGCATCCTCATAGCTTAGCTTCCATTTATGCGTGAGAGCATTCAATGTTTGGTTTTCCATTCCTGAGTTACTTCACTTAGAATAGTAGTCTTCAATCCCAGCCAGGTTGCTGTAAATGCTGTTAATTCATTTCTTTTTTATGGCTGAGTTGTATTCCATTGTGTATATATACCACCGTTTCTTTATCCACTTATTGATTGGTGGACATTTGGGTTGGTTCCACATTTTTTCAATTGCAAATTATGCTGCTATAAACATGCATGTGCAAGTATCTTTTTCATATAAAGACTTCTTTTCCTCTGGGTAAATAGCCAGTAATGAGATTGCTGGATCAAATGGTAGTTCTACTTTTAGTTCCTTAAGGAGTCTACATACTGTTTTCCATAGTGGTTGTACTAGTTTACATTCCCACCAGAAGTGTAGAAGTGTTCCCTTTTCACCACATCTCCACCAACATCTATTATTTTTGATTTTTTGACTATGGCCATTCTTGCAGGGGTAAGGTGGTATCATATTGTGGTTTTGATTTGCATTTCCCTGATCATTAGTGCTGTTGAGCATCTTTTCATATGTTTGTTGGCCATTTGTATATCTTCTTTTGAGAACTGTCTATTCATATTCTTAACCCACTTTTTGATGGGATTTTTTTTTCTTGCTCATTTGTTTGTGTTCATTGTAGATTCTGGATATTAGTCCCTTGTCGGATGTATAGATTGTGAAGATTTTCTCTCACCCTGTGAGTTGTCTGTTTACTCTGCTGACTGTTCCTTTTGCTTTGCAAAAGCTCTTTAGTTTAATTAAGTCCCACCTATTTATCTTTGTTTTTATTGCATTTGCTTTTGGGTTCTTTGTCATGAAATCCTTGCCTAAGCCAATGCCTAGAAGGGTTTTTTCCGATGGTATCTTCTAGAATTTTTATAGTTTCAGATCTTAGATTTAAGTCCTTGATCCATCTTGAGTTGATTTTTGTATAAGGCGAGAGGTGAGGATCTAGTTTCATTCTCCTACATATGGCTTGCCAATTATCCCAGCACCATTTGTTGAATAGGGTGTCTTATGTTTTTGTTTGCTTTGTCAAAAATAAGTTGGCTGTAAGCATTTGGGTTTCTTTCTGGGCTCTCTATTCTGTTCCACAGGTCTATGTGCCTATTTTTATACCAGTACCACGCTGTTTTGGTGACTATGGCCTTATAGTATAGTTTGAAATCAGGTAATGTGATGCCTCCAGATTTGTTATTTTTGCTTAGCCTTGCTTTGGCTATGCGGGCTCTTTTTTTGGTTCCATATTAATTTTAGGACTTTTTTTTTTTAGTTCTGTGACAAATGATGGTGGTATTTTGATGGGAATTGCATTAAATTTGTAGATTGCTTTTGGCAGTATGGTCATCTTCACACTATTGATTCTACTCATTTATGAGCATGAGATGTGTTTCCATTCCTTTGTGTCATCTATGATTTCTTTCAGCAGTGTTTTGTAGTTTTCATTGTAGAGAGGTCTTTCACCTCCTTGGTTAGGTATATTTCTAAGTATTTTATTTTATTTTATTTTTGAAACTATTGTAAAAGGGGTTGAGTTCTTGATTTGATTCTCAGCTTGGTTGCTACTGGAGTATAGCAGAGCTACTGATTTGTGTACATTAATTTTGTATCCTGAAACTTTGCTGAATTCATTTATTAGTTCTAGGAGCTTTTTGGAGGAGTCTTTAGGGTTTTCTAGGTACACGATCATATCAACAGCAAACAGTGACAGTTTGACTTCCTCTTTACTGATTTGGATGCTCTTTCTTTCTTTCTCTTGTCTGATTGCTCTGGTTAGGACTTCTAGTACTATGTTGAATAGAAGTAATGAGAGTGGGCATTCCTGTCTTGTTCCAGTTATCAGGGGGAATGCTTTCAACTTTTCTGCATTCAGTATTATGTTGGCTGTGGGTGTGTCATAGATGGCTTTTGTTACATAGAGGTATGGATGTTCCTTTTTTTGAAAAAAATTATTTGATCCAGCAATCCCACTACTGGGTATCTACCCAGAGGAAAACAAGTCATTATACGAAAAACATACTTGCACACCTATGTTTATAGCAGCACGATTCTCAATTGCAAAGGTATGGAACCAGCCCAAATGCCCATCAAACAATGAGTGGATAAAGGAATTGTGTTATATATACACTATGGAATACTGCTCAGCTATAAGGAGGAATGAAATAATGGCATTCGCAGTGACCTGGATGGAATTGGAGATTATTATTCTAAGTGAAGTAACTCAGGAATGGAAAACCAAGCATCGTATGTTTTCACTTATAAGTTGGAGCTAAGCTACGAGGATACAAAGGCATAAGAATGATACAATAGACTCTGAGGACTTGGGGGAAAGGATGGGAGGTGCTGAGAGATAAAAGACTATGCTGTACATTGGGTATAGTGTACACTGCTCGGGTGATGGGTGCACCCAAATCACAGAAATCACCACTAAAGAACTTATTCATGTAACCAAACACCACCTGTTCCCCAAAAACCTATTGAAATAAAAAAAGTGCAAGAAATTTACATGTGCCAGTGCTTTTTTTCACTTAATCTCTCTCTCTCTCAGCTGTTTTATTTCTAGGTCCTTAATTCTAATAATATGTGACTTCCTAACATTTCATTTGACTAAAAATTACAAAACTGATCTGAAATTCACCATAGTGGGGTTTTACCATGTGGGTAAAGTGGACCCACAGACTTAAAAATTGTAGAATCTGAGAGTAAGAAGCAACTTATGCAATCCTCTAATTTAGTTCTTTCATTTTTCAGAGAAGGAAACTGAGGCTCAGCGAAGTTACGTGATTTGCCTATAGTTACAGAGCTAGTAAAAAGTTTAAACTGTTAGATGAACTCCTATTTGCTACTCTACCCAGTGACAGAGAATACTGAATGCATCTATTTACTCAGACATATGAACTATAGTGACTAAAAACAGTTGTGATGTGTGATGTACATTGTTGGGGGTCAGAATATAATACACCAAAATGAAGGTCTCAGAGCAGCATGGAAGCAAAAGTTTTTCTCTGACTTTCTCTGGTCCTCCTGTCTCTGGCCCCCTCATACTCCCTTGAGGCTAGCCATAGAAACTAGAATCCCTCCTCCAAGGTGGGTCATAGAAAACCAGAACCCTTTATCCCAAAGCCAGCCATAAAAACCTAAAAATATTACTTTAACTTTACCTCCACCTTTCTGTGTAAAAACTTGTCATAAAGAAATTATCTGACCTACCTTGTTTGATTGTAGATTGCAAGAGCCCCCATTCTAGAGAGGGTCCTGTCCCATACCCAGAAGGAAGGAATGCTGCACAGAGGCCAAGAAGAATCCAGACAGACAGGCCTTGCCGGGCTTCCCCGCTCAGTCTGTTTGTTTTAGACCATGCCTTCTTTGTCCAGTCATATTTCTACAAGCCTGACCATACTTTGCTGAACCAAAGCATGAACATGGACAGTTTGCTCTATATCTTTGGGTCTTCATCCTGAAGGATCCTGTGTCACATATAAAACTATGATCAAATAAATTTGTATGCCTTCCTCCTATTAATCTGCCTTTTGTCAGTTGATTTTAAGTGAACCTTTGGAAAGCTAAAGGGAAGCTTTCCCTAGGTCCCTGTAACATGTTATGTTTTAGAGGTTTCAAAATTATTCAAATGCTTTTGTATGTTTTGAATATTTTCATGGCATGACACACGTTCGTGTGTGTGTGAAACTTTGCATAATTTTAGTAGTTTTAACTTTTGCTGTCATAAAAATAATTTAGTTTTATATTTAGGAAAATCTTAAAACTCTATGGTTAGTTGGTAAATAGTGATAAAAGAAAAAATTTCAGCCAAATTAAATTTAAAGGAGTTTGCTTGAACAATGAATGATTCACGAATCAGGCAGCCCCCAGAATCGCAGCAGATTCACAGAGACTCCAGTGCAGCCATGTGGTGGGAGAAGATTTATAGAACAAAAAGAGGGAAATGACATACAAAAATCAGCAACGAGGTACAGCAACGGCTGGACTGGTTACAGGTTGGCATTTGCCTTATTTGAACACAGTTTGAACACTTAGCAGCCTATGAGTGGTTGAAGTATGGCTGCTGGGATTGGCCACAGCTATTATTACAGGTGCATACTCCTAAATTAGGTTTTCAATCTTGTCTGACTATTAAGCTACATTACAGTTCATCTACAAGGACTCAAATATAGAAGTATGGAGTCCTTCTCAGGCTATATTTAGTTTGCTTTAACAATAGATACTGGTAGAAAGATTAAAGAGAGTCATAAAGTATGTCCACTTCATGCAGCTATAAGGTTGGACTAATTAGGCAAAGTAGATAATACATCTGAAAAATTCTGGCAAAAAATCAAAACAAAACAAAACAATCAAATTCACCATTTATTTTCCAAACCAAAATTTCTTTGGTTTTTGCTTATTTGTGTTTATACTTCTGTAAAATTCCTACTCAGAGTACCTAGTTGATCATAATCTCAGAATAAGTTATTAAACTTTATAGTCTGTACTTCCTACTGAGGTATAATCATTATATATATATCTGAAATTTAATGGTGTCACTTTCTCAGCAGTGCTATTGAAGTGATTAAGCTATTATATATCTAATTATTTTGAAATTAAAAATAAAGATTTTGTACAGATTAGGGGGTCTCACTGTGTTGCCCAAGCTGATCTTGAACTCCTGGGCTCACATAAACCTCCCACCTTGGCCTCCCAAAATGCTGAGATTGCAGATGTGAGCCATCATGCTCAGCCTTTTTTTTTTTTTTTGACATTTTAAAATTAATACACATTGTACATATTTATGGGGGTAGATGTGATATTTTGTTATGTGCATAGACTGTGTAATGATCAAGTCAGGGTTTTTGGGGTGCTTGTCACCTCCAATGTTTATCATTTCCAAGAGCTAGGAACATTTTAAGTGCTCTCTTCTAGTTATTTTGAAATATACAATACATTGTTAACTATAGTCACACTACTCTGCTGTTGAACATTAGAACTTATTCTATCTAGCTGTATGTTTGTACTCTTTAACCAACCTGTCTTTGTTACCCCCTTCCCACCACAGACACATTCTTCCCAGCCTCTGGTAATCATCATTCTACTCTCTATCTCTATGTGATCAACTTTTTTAGCTCCCACATGTGTGTGAGAAAATGTGATGTGTGTCTTTCTGTGCCTGGATCATTTCACTTAACATAATGACCTCCAGTTCCACCCATGTTGCTGCAAGTGACATGATTTCATTCTTTTCATGGCTGAATAGTATTCCATTGTGGTGTATATATACTATATTTCCTATATCTATTTGTCCATTGATGGATACTTAGGTTGATTCCATATCTTTGCTATTGTAAACAGAGCTGTGATAAGCATGCGAGTGGAGGTATCCCTTTGGTATACTGATTTCTTTTCCTTTGGATAAATATCCAATGGTGGGGTTGCTGGATTATATAATAGTTCTGTTTTTTGTTTTTTTGAGTAATTGCCATACTGTTTTCCATAATGGCTATACTAATTTACTAATATTTAATGATATCTCACTGTGGTTTTGATTTGCATTTCCCTGATTATTAGGGATGTTGAGTATTTCTCATATACCTGTTGACCATTAAATTATGTTTTAATATGATATCTCTGTAAAGGTTAAGTACTTTTTAGGACATGGACCTGGAATGATTGCCAGAATTCATCGTTTGAATGGAATTAATTTTCAAATTTAGCAGGCATATACTTTCCATTTCTCCATCCTACTAAATAAATTAAAAGTTAATTTACCAGGGTGGTGGGCTTGACAGGAACAGGGAACAAGTTTTACTTTCATTTTCTGGGACCACTCCTGAGCTTGATATGCCTTTTAAACACTGACCCTCTGCCTGCCTATCTGCTTTTACTTATACTCACCTTGGAGCAGGTTCTCTTCTCTACTTCCTTTTCTGGGCAGTCTCCAGGGCGGCTTTAGCCTCTTCACTTGCTTCTGTTACAGCATGACTAACCCAGAGCTTGCCCAAAATGTGGTAGTCTGATGAATGGTCCTCCAAAGATGTCCATGGTCCTAATCACTGGGATCTGTGAGTATATTACTTTTTATGGTAAAAGGGATTAGCAGCTATGGTTAAGTTAAGGGTTTAGAGATGAGGAGATTATCCAGATAGGCTTAACGTCATCACAAGGTTCTTTATAAGCAGAAGTCAGGAGGATCAAAGTCAAAAAAAGAAGATGTGATGACAAAACCAGAGGTTGGAGGGATGTCCTTTGAAGATGGGAAAGGGGCCAGGAGCTACGGAATGTAGGCAGCTTCTACCAACTGGAAAAGCGAAGGAAACAGATTCTTCCCTGAGCCTCTGGGAGGCAGCAGTCCCGATAAGACCTGGATTTTAGACTTCTGACCTCCACAACTGTAGGAGAGTAATTTGTGTTATTTCAAGTTACTCTATTTATGGTAACTTGTTATAGCAGCAGTAGGGAACTCATCCAATTACCATATATATAAAAGCTCTTTCAAGATCATAATACCATGTTAGGTATTATTCGTAGTAGAATATCATAATACTTACAAGTCCTTTTCCTTAATATTGTATTTAAAAATTAAATGTATTTTTAAAAAATGTATTTCAAAGCTTGCTTAAAAATATTCTTGTAGACAAATATTGTACTATTTCTGTATTTTAAAATTAATTTGTTCAGTTTATACTTATTAAACATCTATTATGTGCAAAAGAGTATGTTGCAGAGGACACAGAAATGTTTAGGACATGGACTTTAATTCCAAGGATCTCATAAGGTTGACCTCTAGAAGCTATACTATTGCATAAATAACTGTTGCCTGGGTTGGCATACTGTATTAGCTAGCTACGGCTGCATAATAAAGTACCACAGACTGGGGGGCTCAGACAACAGTAATTTATTTTCCCACAATTCTGGAAGCTAGAAGTCCAAGATCAAGGTGTTGTGAAAGGAAAATAAATCTTAGGACCCCCCAAAATCACCAAGCCAAGGGAAAAGTCAAGCTGGGAACTACCTCAGGCAAACCTGCCTCCTATTTTATTCCTAGATAAGATAGCTAAAAAGGTAAAAGAGCTCCATACTTCCCTCACAATTTTCCTATAAGGAATTCTTCATGGGGCTCAAGATTTTTGCCCTAACGCAGTTCTGCTGAATTTCACCCTGGCAATGTAAACGGATAGCTTATCTCCACCGATGCAGGACATAAAGTCACCCCTCTGCTTACCTGAAACAAATGCACATCTATCTGATTTCTTCCTCTACCCTATTGTTTATGTAAAAATGCAGAATCACTGAGCCAGACTAAATTGTGTATTCAGTGGAAGGCTGACCAAGGACTCAAAAGAATGCAACTTCTTCTCTCTTATCTACCTATGACCTGGAAATCTCTGCTTCAAGTTGTTGCACCTTATGGGACCGAACCAATTTACATCTTACACATATTGATTGATGTCTCTTGTCTCTCTAAAATGTGTAAAAGCAAGCTGTACCCTGACCACCTTAGCACATTGTCAGGACCTCCTGAGGTTGTGTCACATGCGTGTCCTTAACCGTGACAAAATAAACTTGATAAATTGGTTGAGACCTGTCTCAGATATTTTGGGTTCACAGGATTGATTTCTTCTAAGCTCTGTCTCTCCTTTGCTTATAATGTGTTTCCTCCTTTGTTTTTACTTGGTCTTCCCTTTGTGCCTGTGTCCTACTTTTTTTTTTTTTTTGAGATGAAGTCTTGCTCTTTTCCCCCAGGCTGGAGTGCAATGGCGCAATCTCAGCTCACTGCAACCTTCACCTCCTGGGTTCAAGCGATTCTCCTGCCTCAGGCTCCTGAGTAGCTGGGATTACAACCATGTGCCACCATGCCCAGCTAATTTTTGTGTTTTTAGTAGAGATGGGGTTTCACCATGTTGGCCAGGCTGGTCTTGAACTCCTGACCTCAGGTGATCTGCCCGCCTCGGCCTCCCAAAGTGCTGGATTACAGGCTTGAGCCACTGTGCCCGGCCCTATTCTCCTCTTCTTATAAGGATACCAGCCATATTGGGTTACAACCCACCCTCATGACCTCATTCAAACTTAATTACCTCCATGAGGATCGCATCTCCAAATACAATCACATTCCAAGGTAAGGGGGTTGAGATTTCAATATAAAAATTGGGGGAGAACACAGTTCAGCCCATAACACATGCTAAGTGTGTGCTTTGGGAAAATTCAGAGAAGAGTGAGCTACTCTAGATATTGCTAATAGTAGAATTCACTCACAAATCAACTGATTAACAATGACATACTTGCCATGTGTGGTTACTGATAATCCAAGAATGAGCTATCCTTCCCAGAATGTACGGTGACAAATGGAGGAATCCTGATGAAGACATATAGAAACAGTAAATAAAATGATGGAACACATTTATGTCTTCATGAAAAGCACTTAGAACCAAGTACAGAAATTCTTTGGTGCAGTTGTTCAATTCCATTCTCAGGTGACAAACAAAGCCAACAGCTATGAGCCTTCTGATGATTCTGCCCTTTTGAAGTAACTAAGTTTGCACAATGACATTTACTATACTTTTAGGAACTGGCATGCCTAGGCTTAATGCATCTTTGTTGAGACAAAAAAAAAAGTTATGGTTTCTATAAGAGAATCTGTTCCAGGAGAAAGAGAATGACATATTGGATATGTTAGATAAGCAAAATATGCTAAGTTCCTTGGGGTCCTAATTAACATATTCCAGAGAAAAGTCCCACCCTAAAGTTTAGGTTCAATTATCAGAGGTCAAAATGTAATTCTGTTAGGAAAGCAGACAATGTTCACAGCAATCCTTTCATGTCCTTATGAACAAAAATGAAAATGTTCAAGTTGGTGGGAACTCATAGGAGTTAGTAATTTAATCAACATACTTTGGCCCATCATTGGGCCAAATTCTAGTGCTCTAATGCTGTAGATGGAAATATGTGGACAAAGGACTGAGCAAGATAAGATGGTCATTTAAGATAACTCATTCATTATAAGAAAATATAAAAGTAACAAAACACCATGTAAGAGAGTTTGAAGAAAAGATGAATATGATCTTTGATTTTCTAGGCACAGAAAAATAATGAAGAAATTCCAGTTTTAGGTTATTCTTTTTTTGTGCAAGTATCTGCTAATTACATATCTTATGCATTTCTCATTATCTATCATTTCAGACAAATTGTGCCTATAGACAATTTCAAAATAAATGTTTTCATACAAAGAAATAAAATGGGAGAATGGGAGCATGCCTAGTAATGACAGTTAAAATTCTGTCTTTTCCAAAATAGTACTGTTTCCATTGTAGAGTAACTGAATTCAATTATCTAAACTGTGTGTTTTTGTTAGCAACATGTGAATTTATTTAATGGTAGTGTGCAATTTTTAGTAGGAGTTACTGGAATTTTTCTAAGAACGTTGATTCACCTCAGATCACATTGTTTTTCAGATACAGTCTGTTGGATTTTAACAAAAACCCCATAGCTAATCACAGGTGAAAATAATGATACCATGTAACTATTTTCATTGATGGTGTTGGTTTTTGTCTTAGATCTAGCACAACAATGTGTTTCTTAGCAAACACTCCCTGTATTCAAGCAGACATTGTCACACACTTAGAGGAAGAGATGAAAAAGGCTGTATAGGACCATCCATAAAGTACAGAGGGGATACTTGCAGACCAGTAACCAACTTCTACGTTAGTTAAATTGAAAGCAATTTATATCATAACTTGAGTGAGTGAGGTTGGAAAAAATGTTCTTGACAATGAAGATGCTTAAACTTAAATAGGGGAGATTTTACAGAGAGAGGATGAGTAACCCAGAGTCTCAAGGCCCAGATATATTTAGCAGATAGGGCCAATTTTGTGATTCTGTGCCAGAGAGATGGGGAGGCTTTCTAAAGCGGATCTTAAGTGAAGTCAAGAGATGTAGAAAAAAGGGAAGAGAAACCTGAAGGGCAGTTTCTTATCACTTTAGTTGTATTAGTCCTTCTTCATGCTGCTGGTAAAGACATACCCGAGACTGGGCAATGTACAAAAGAAACAGGTTTAATGGACTCACAGTTCTACTTGGCTGGGGAGGCCTCACAAACATGGCAGGAGGTGAAAGACCTGTCTCACATGGCGGTACACAAGAAAAGAGAGCTTGTGCAGGGAAACTCCCCTTTATAAAACCATCATATCTCATAAGACGTAGTCACCATCATGAGAATAGCATGGGAAAGACCTGCCCCCATGATTCAATTACCTCCCACTGGGTCCCTCCCACAACACGGAACTGTGGGAGCTACAGTTCAAAATGAGATTTGGGTGGTGGCACAGCCAAACCACATCGTTACTCATATGTCTCAGTAATCACATAAAGGCACCCAGCAAATATTTGTGGATCTTCCCTGCTCTGTGCAAAGCCAACAGAAGAGCATATAAAACAAAAACAACACTAACCTTGTGTGTTTACCTAATTGCAGAGGAGCTTCAAGGAAAGCTACTCAATTTGCTTTTTTTAGATTACAGTACAGGGGTTAGCAAACCGCAGCCTGTGGGCCAAATCTGGTCGGATGCCTATTTTTGTATGGCCTATGAGCTAAGAATTGTTTTTATAGTTGAACATGTCCAATTTATTTGATGATAGGGCAAACTAATTTGGAACCCCAATTAAACTAAATGCTATCACCCCCAAAAGAATTCCATTCTTCTCATTAGTAGACCTGTGTTACAAAATATTATACTCTATTATTAATATTTAATTAAAATACTTTCAATAAAATTTTAATGGCAGTTTATTTTCTCTGTTATGTAAGTACCTACTATATATATATAGTAGGTATAGGCTTGGCCTATAAAGCCTAAAGTATATTCTATCTGAGACTTTGCGGTAAATGTTTGCTGACCCCTGTTCTAGTGAACTAACTAGATAGGAGATGCTCTGTGTAATTTCAGCAGTTTATGATATCTCAGATCCTCTTTCACTAATCTGAAAATGATTGGTAACATTTCTCACCCCATACCATTTAAGTACAAGATGTCCTTGACTCTTCATCAACTGCTACATTAATAATGAACATAACCCTGGGAAATTTGGGGATTTCATATGGTGCGAAGAGAGGTCACTTTGAGGTATTCAGCTGGTGGATGGCTTCTCTTACATGTCCCCTTGGCAGGGATCACTAGAAGTCTGGCTCAGCTGGGGCTATTCACCATGGTGGCTACATAATGGCTTCTCCAGTATGGTGATTTCAGGTTAGTTGAATTTTTACATTATAGCTCAAGACTAGCAAACATAGTGTTTGAAGAAGCTTGAGTGGAAGCTTCAAGACTTATGACCAAGATTAGAAGTCCTGGAATGTCACTTCTACCATTTTCTACTGCTCAAGAAAGTCACTAAGACCAGCCCAAATCCAAGGAGAGAGGAATTAGATTTCAACTCTCAACAGGAGAAGTACCATACTAAAGACTATATGACCATCTTTGGTAAGGTATAATCTATGATGTCTTCTATTCTTGGTTTTCAAACTTTTTATAGGCTATGTATATGTTAGATCTTTTCATTCTAGCCTATATGTTTACACTTTTTACAGTGGCTTTTTTTCATTTTTTTTCTCCCCATGCTTTAGTGGATATATTCTATAAAACTTCCTTCTGATTTCTAATTTTTTCTTTTGCTATGTCTAAATTGGAGTTAACCCCATCTATTGGATTTTAATTTTTTTGTTATTGTAGTGCCTATTTACAGACTTTTTACTTAGATGTAATTTTTTTTGTAGATGCTAGTTCTCTAGTGAAATTTTCCATCTTGTCATTTAT
This sequence comes from Homo sapiens, assembly GCF_000001405.40. Classification (NCBI taxonomy): domain Eukaryota; kingdom Metazoa; phylum Chordata; class Mammalia; order Primates; family Hominidae; genus Homo; species Homo sapiens. The sequence goes on from NC_000013.11 coordinate 77,431,377, forward strand.
TTTCTTAGATATATTTACAATGATTTCCAAGACCACAAGTAATAACTGTAATATCTGGATCACCTATAGGACTGCTTCCATTGTCTGTTTTCTCTATTATATGCCAGATATTTTGTCTTTTCCAGGCATACCTTGTAGTTTTTAAATTGAGTGCCAGACATTGTGTTTGAAAAATTGTATAAATAATTTGAGGCTTTCATAGATGTTACCTTCCTCCAGGGAGGATTTTCCCCCCTTTCTAATTAGCAATTAGATTAAGAGAAGTTCACCACAGTTCAACCTGAGGTTGAGTTGACTCAGAGATGGTTTCAGTACTTGGTAAAATTAAGTCTAATTGTAGTTCACATTTATTCTCAGACTATAGTCTTTCTGAAGTCTTGACTGGAAGTATAAGAAATTTACTAGTAGTCTTCCTTCTGGGAGGGCCCTGAACTCTAATTTTTCAGTAGTAAGATTGTTGAACACTGTTTAGGATTCCAGCTTTTAGACATTAACTTCTTCTTGGTTTCTTAGTGTCTCAATCCTATGTAGCTGTAGCTTAGAAATCATCAAATGCATCAGACTTCCGCAGATTGTTGAGGTCATGTCAACAAGCTTCTTTTCTCTCTGGGATCACGGCTCCTGAAGTATTGACTGCTTTGGTAGCTTCCTGATTTCTCTAAAGAGATTTTTAACTTTTGTTCAGCTGCCCTAGTCATATTCAAATTGGAATGCAGTAAGCTCTTTTACTATTACTGAAAATGACCAATTTTCTTTTATCACAACAATTAATTTTTCTCCTATGTTCCAAGTTAAACCAAAAAGATAGTTTTTGGTTTAATGATTCTAGACGTTCAGTCATCAGCCTCCCAGACTCATTAATTGGCTTTCTTGGCCATTTTCTATTGCCATTCTTCTGTTGTCTACCCTAGCATTTGTCACTTCATGTTACTTTAAAAAAAATAGTTCCTTTAAAATTCATCTATTATTCTTCAGCTACTAGTCTCTGCTCTTGTTACATTTCCTTTGGATTTGCTTAAATTGTAATTATCTATTGCTGTATAAGTACCTTGAAAATTAGTGGCTTATGATTTGCTATTTCTCTTACAGGTTGACTGGCAGGTCTTCTGCTCCATGCTGTATCAACTGGGGTCACACAAATATAATTAGTTGGTGGCTGGGCTGGGTCTAGAAGATTGAAAAAGACCCCCCTTATACATCTGGTGGCTCAGCTGGGGTGGTTTGAGTGGCTGGAGCACCTCGGTCCTCTTCCAGGTAGATCTCTTCCTTGAGCAGTCTAAGCTGGCTTCCTTCAAACATGACAACTGGTTTCCAAAAGGGTTCTTAAAGTCTCAGCTCAGAACAGGCACAGTGTCTATCACTTCTGCTGCATCCTCTTGGCCAAAATAAGTCATAAGTCCAGATCAGAGCTGAGAAGAGGGGAAATAGATTCTCCTTCTTGAAGAGAAGATTGGCATGCACATCTAAAGATAAGAATAATTGTTGGCTACCTGTGTAGGAGCACATTCCTTTTTTTGGGTACAATTTACTGAGACTACACGGACTTGTTTGGCTTCTGCCCAGAATTTTCCCCTTAGCAACTGCTAAGTTCAGTTGATTTCCACAGTAGGCTCAGGCAAAGCATAAGTGCTCTGTTCAGTATCAACATCAGACAGAGAGAATTTTACTTGGACCTTTTCTAATTACTTGCCACGGTTTAATAATTATCAGTCTGTCTTCTCCCTCAACCCCTCTGAGCCAAATCTGCCTATGCCCTACTCTTATTATCGCTTTTTAAATTATTTGAACCTAACTACTTTCTGGGACCACAACATCTTGTCTTTCTTCTTCAAGACATCTTTGCTTTACATCTTCAGAACATTGTCATCTTCTAGTAGTCTCTTTCCAGTATTTTGGAAAATACTTGCATTGCTTCCAATGGGAGAGTTGTTGTAGGTTCTACTCTTATTGGTTCTAAGGAAATTAATCCCTTTATTTCCAAAATAAAGTGATAGGTCCAAATCGATTTTAAATAGAGTAAAACTTGGGTACACTTGGACCCATAGGCTATAAGGGGCCTGTGTGTATAGAAAGTTTTAGTCATTTTGAGAGTTCCCATTATATATTTTGAAAATAAAAATTTGGTCTTGAATAGAATCAAATTTGGCCAGATTTTCTTAACAATCTGGCAGCAGTATTATGCTACTGGCATATTTATTTTGGTTTGTCCCAAGCTTTAGCAAGAATAGAGTAGGTAAGTTCCAAATATTTAAATAAATCTATATTTCATTGCAATAATCTTAAAAATTAATATATTATTCTGTGAGTTGCTTGAGACACTGTAAAACTTACCTAACTAATGTCTAAATGCCTAAGCAATTAGAGGGCCAAATTATATGTTATCAAATAAAATGTAAACATTCACCTCTAAACAATATCAATAAGCAGGTTAAATTTGTCTTTTGTAATTCAGAATGTTTCTGTTAGTGAAAAATGTTGAAAATTACATAAATGCATTTATTATTGTATGTCTCTCAAAAAATGTATTATGCTTCTATTACTTTGATGTGTAAAGAAGGCATAAATACATCTTTTTCTTTTAAGAGATGGGGTCTCTCTATGTTGCCCGGGCTGGAGTGCTGTGGCTATTCACAGGTGTGATAATAGTGTACTGCAATCCCAAACTCCTGGCCTCAAGAAATCCTCTTGCCTTAGCCGCCCCAGGAGCTGGGACTATGGGTGCAAGCTACCTTGGTGGCCATAAATATATCTTATTGGGAAGTCAGGACTTCTCTGAGAGGGCTTTAAACATGGTCAGGTTTTTAGAATAGAAAAGTCTCTATTGGCAGTGACAAAGGTTAAGAGCTGTCTTAGCAACAGAAAACTCTTAGATAGTAGGCTACATTTTAGCTATAAGAATGAAGAAATCTTGGTGAGAATCATATATTAATATATTTGTTAACAATGCCTATATCTCACATAGATATTATAAGATTGTCCTTTTAAGAAATTATCCTTTTAAGATTTGTCATGCTTTTCAATTCAAAAAAACTCCCATAGCCAAAATGCAACTGAGATCTGAAATGTCAAATTTTTGCACTCTCTGCTTTGTCAGATTTCCAGTTGCTCTCTGGACCTTGGCCGACTTCACTGGCAAAGTCAAATTGATGACTTGCTTGTATTTCTGATTCCAGTTCTATTAATTCAAAGGGATTCTTTTTGAAGAATCAAAAAGTATTCTCAGTAGACTTATGCAAATCATTACTAGTTATTGCTCTGTGTACTTTTATTCAAAGTAAAATTGAAAAACATTAAGAACTTTCTGGGATAGTTACAAATTATGTGAGTGCTAGTTTTTCTTAAAGTGTGCTCTTTATTAATTTTATTTTTGACAATTCCCATCACCATATCTATGAAACAACATTCTTTCCTTAAGTTAAAAGACTAATTTCAAAAACTATTTAAGGATTACTATGGGAAAACAAAGATTAACAATCTATAATTATTTAGCATAGAAACTTAAGTGGTTGAAAAAAATGGAAGTTTTAAAACATTGCTGATTTTTTTCATGGCTAGTCATAATTAAAGTCTCCAAAATGTGTTTTAAAATTTATCTTCTGTTTAAATTAATACAATATTGCATATTTATCAGTGATGTCAAAGTTTTCAATTTCCAAGTAAATATTGGAAAATTTTTAGTTTTCTTGTCTTCGTTAACTTCTTCTTTCCTTTCTTATAAAATTAACTTACATCTTCCATTTATTTATTTATTTATTTCTGAGACAGAGTTTCACTCTGTTGCCCAGGCTAGAGTGCAGTGGCACGATCTCAGCTCACTGCAACCTCCGCCTCCCGGGGTCAAACAATTATCCTGCTTCAGCCTCCTGAGTAGCTGGGATTACAGGCATGCACCATCATGCCCGGCTAATTTTTGTATTTTTAGTAGACATGGGGTTTTGCCATGCTGACCAGGCTGGTCTTGAACTCCTGGCCTCAGGTTATCCACCCGGGTTAGCCTCCCAAAGTGCTTGGATTACAGGCGTGTGGAGCCCAGCCTACATCTTCCATTTTAAGATTTTATTTTTCACATCACATTTCTCTTCCATATTGTCTAATCCCAGCTACACTTATTATTATCCCCCCTCATTTCATTCATGCCTGATCCTTTTGTTTACTCTGCCTCTCCAGCTTGGAGCTCCTGTGTGTTTATGACTATGTTTGTAGCAATGCTTTTGTAATAGTAAGCAGACCTTCCACTGATTCAGCAAAGACTTATTGAGCACCTATTATGTGCCAATCAGAGTGCTAGATTTTGTAGGTAAGATAATGATAATCCTGCTGAGCTCTTTGAAGTTAGGGGTATGTCTTCTTCCTCCTGGTATTCCCTAGAGCTGAACACACACCTGACCCATGATAGAGCTTCCATAAATCATTATTAAAAGTATAGCCTAGACAATCCTAAGCAAAAAGAACAAAGCTGGAGGCATCACACTACCTGACTTCAAACTATTCTACAAGGCTACAGAACCAAAGCAGCATGGTACTGGTACCAAAACAGACATAGAGACCAATGGAACAGAAGAGACCTCAGAAATAACACCACACATCTACGACCATATGATCTTTGACAAACCTCACAAAAACAAGTCATGGGAAAAGGATTCCCTATTTAATAAATGGTTCTGGGAAAACTGGGTAGCCATATGTAGAAAGCTGAAACTGGATCCCTTTCTTACACCTTATATAAAAATTAATTCAAGATGGATTAAAGACTTAAATGTTAGACCTAAAACCATCAAAACCCTAAAAGAAAACCTAGGCATACCATTTAGGACATAGGCATGGGCAAGGAGTTAATGACTAAAGCACCAAAAGCAATGGCAACAAAAGCCAAAATAGACAAATGAGATCTAATTAAACTAAGGAGCTTCTGCACAGCAAAAGAAACTATCATCAAAGTGAACAGGCAACCTACAGAAAGGGAGAAAATTTTTGCAATGTACCCATCTGACAAAGGGCTAATATCCAGAATCTACAAAGAACTTAAAGGAATTTACAAGAAACAAACAAACAACACCATCAAAAAGTGGGCGAACGATATCAACAGACACTTCTCAAAGGAAGACATTTATGCAGCCAAAAAACATGAAAAAAAGCTCATCAGCACTGGTCATTAGAGAAATGCAAATCAAAACCACAATGAGATACCATCCACAATGAGATACCACGCCAGTTAGAATGGTGATCATTAAAAAGTCAGGAAACAACAGATGCTGGAGAGGATGTGGAGAAATAGGAATGCTTTTACACTGTTGGTGGGAGTGTAAATTAATTCAACCATTGTGGAAGACCATGTGGCGATTCCTCAAGGATCTAGAACTAGAAATACCATTTGACCCAGCAAATCCATTACTGGGCATATACCCAAAGAAACATAAATCATTCTACTGTAAAGACACATGCACACATATGTTTATTGCAGTGCTATTCACAATAGCAAAGACTTGGAACCAACCCAAATGCCCATCAGTGATAGACTGGATAAAGAAAATGTGTCACATGTACACCATGGAAGACTATGCAGCCATAAAAAAGGATGAGATCATGTCCTTTGCAGGGACATGGATGAAGCTGGAAACCATCATTCTCAGCAAAGTAACACAGGAACAGAAAACCAAACACCACATTTTCTCACTCATAAGTGGGAGTTGAACAATGAGAACACTTGGACACAGGGAGGGGAACATCACACACTGGGGATTGTCGGAGGGTGGGGGCTGGGGGAGGGATAGCATTAGGAGAAATACCTAATGTAGATGACAGGTTGGTGGATGCAACAAACCACCATGGAATGTGTATCCCTATGTAACAAACCTGCATGTTCTGCACATGTATCCCAGAACTTAATGTACATATATGTAAAAAAAAAAGTATCCTCAAAAGCCCATCTGCCCTGTGAAACATTCCATCAGTACTGACTGTTTCCTCTTAGCTCCTATAATGTTTATCCAAATTTTGGGGGCTATTCCATGTGCCAATCAGCAAAATACGGGGGAGCAAATATTGTTCTTAGATTGTCAGATGAAATTTACTACTATGACAACAAACTGCCTGACTACAAGGAACACATACTATGCAAACATGGCTTCAAGTGCCTCACTGCTGTGTTGAGCCAGGTTGTAATGCAGCATTTGGTTGACCTGTGGACTCTCTGCTTAGGATGTCCGCTGCAGATAAAAAGCCATCTGTGGCAGTGGTAACCTCATGGGACAGCACCTGAAATATGCCTTTATTTTGTGACCCAGAAACCAAAAAGTTGAAGGATATGGAATGCATAACAAAATTAGGTTATGTATTTTAAAAATATACAGTGTAGTTATTTGTATTCATATAACAAATTAAGTGAATAAAACGTAAAATATGTAAAATCAAGGCACTTGTAAAAGTAATTTAATTTTTATAAGTAAAATAATATATATATTATACTTTAAGTTCTAGGGTACATGTGCACAACGTGCAAGTTTGTTACATATGTATACATGTGCCATGTTGGTTTGCTGTACCCATTAACTCGTCATTTACATTAGGTATTTCTCCTAATGCTATCCCTCCCCTATCCTCCCACCCCACAGTAGGCCCCGGTGTGTGATCTTCCCTGCCCTGTGTCCAAGTGTTCTTATTGTTCAATTCCCACCTATGAGTGAGAACATGCAGTGTTTGGTTTTCTGTCCTTGTGATAGTTTTCTCAGAATGATGGTTTCCAGCTTCATCCATGTTGCTACAAAGGACATGAACTCATCCTTTTTTATGGCTGCATAGTATTCCATGGTGTATATGTGCCACATTTTCTTAATCCAGTCTATCATTGATGGACATTTGGGTTGGTTCCAAGTCTTTGCTACTGTGAATAGTGCCACAATAAACATACGTGTGCATGTGTCTTTATAGTAGCATGATTTATAATCCTTTGGGTGTATACCCAGTAATGGGATTGTTGGGTCAAATGGTATTTCTAATTCTAGATCCTTGAGGAATTGCCACACTGTCTTCCACAATGGTTGAACTAGTTTACAGTCCCATCAACAGTGTAAAAGCATTCCTATTTCTCCACATCCTCTCCAGCACCTGTTGTTTCCTGACTTTTTAATGATCACCATTCTAACTGGTGTGAGATGGTGTCTCATTGTGGTTTTGATTTGCATTTCTCTGATGACCAGTGACAATGAGCATTTTTTCACGTCTCTGTTGGCTGCATAAATGTCTTCTTTTGAAAAGCATCTGCTCATATCTTTTGCCCACTTTTTGATGGGGTTGTTTGATTTTTTCTTGTAAATTGGCTTAAGTTCTTTGTAGATTCTGGATATTAGCTCTTTGTCAGATGGGTACATTGCAAAAATTTTCTCCCTTTCTGTAGGTTGCCTGTTCACTTTGATGATAGTTTCTTTTGCTGTGCAGAAGCTCCTTAGTTTAATTAGATCCCATTTGTCTATTTTGGCTTTTGCTGCCATTGCTTTTGGTGCTTTAGTCATTAACTCCTTGCCCATGCCTATGTCCTAAATGGTATTGCCTAGGTTTTCTTCTAGGGTTTTGATGGTTTTAGGTCTAACATTTAAGTCTTTAATCCATCTTGAATTAATTTTTGTATAGGGTGTAAGAAAGGGATCCAGTTTCAGCTTTCTACCTATGGCTAGCCAGTTTTCCCAGAACCATTTATTAAATAGGGAATCCTTTTCCCATGGCTTGTTTTTGTGAGGTTTGTCAAAGATCACATGGTCGTAGATGTGTGGTGTTATTTCTGAGGTCTCTGTTCTGTTCCATTGGTCTCTATGTCTGTTTTGGTACCAGTACCATGCTGTTTTGGTTACTGTAGCCTTGTAGAATAGTTTGAAGTCAGGTAGTGTGATGCCTCCAGCTTTGTTCTTTTTGCTTACGATTGTCTTGGCAATGCAGGCTCTTTTTTGGTTCCATACAAACTTTAAAGTGTTTTTTTCCAATTCTGTGAATAAAGTCATTGGTAGCTTGATCTGAATGGCATTGAATTTATGAATTACCTTGGGCAGTATGGCCATTTTCACTATATTGATTCTTCCTGTCCATGAGCATGGAATGTTCTTCCATTTGTATGTGTCCTGTTTTATTTTGTTGTGCAGTGGTTTGTAGTTCTCCTTGAAGAGGTCCTTCATATCCCTTGTAAGTTGGATTCCTAGGTATTTCATTCTCTTTGTAGCAGTTGTGAATGGGAGCTCACTCATGGTTTGGCTCTCTGTTTGTCTGTTATTGGTGTATAAGAAAGCTTATTAGTTTTGCACATTGATTTTATATCCTTAGACTTTGCTGAAATTGCTTATCAGCTTAAGAAGATTTTGGGGGGAGACGATGGGGTTTTCTACATATACAATCATGTCATCTGCAAACATGGACAATTTGACTTCTCTTTTCCTAATTGAATACCCTTTATTTCTTTCTCTTGCCTGATTGCCCTGGCCAGAACTTCCAACACTATGTTGAATAGGAGTGGTGAGGGAGGGCATCCCTGTCTTGTGCCAGTTTTCAAAGGGAATGCTTCCAGGTTTTGCCCATTCAGTATGATATTGGCTGTGGGTTTGTCATAAATAGCTCTTATTATTTTGAGATACGTCCCATCAGTACCTAGTTTATTGAGAGTTTTTAGCATGAAGGGCTGTTGAATTTTGTCAAAGGCCTTTTCTGCATCTATTGAGATAATCATATGGTTTTTGTCTTCGGTTCTGTTTATGTGATGGATTATGTTTATTGATTTGCATATGTCGAACCAGACTTGCATCCCCGGGATGAAGCCAACTTGATCTTGGTGGATAAGCTTTTTGAAGTGCTGCTGGCTTCGGTTTGCCAGGATTTTATTGAGTATTTTTGCATTGATGTTCATCAGGGATATTGGTCTAAAATTCCTTTTTTTGTCTCTTTTTTGCCTGTCTCTGCCAGGCTTTGGTATCAGGATGACGCTGGCCTCATAAAATGAGTTAGGAAGGATTCCCTCTTTTTCTATTGATTGGAATAGTTTCAGAAGGAATGGTACCAGCTCCTCTTTGTACCTCTGGTAGAATTCGGCTGTAAATCTGTCTAGTCCTGGACTTTTTTTGGTTGGTAGGCTATTAATTATTGCCTCAATTTCAGAGCCTGTTATTGGTCTATTCAGTGATTCAACTTCTTCCTGGTTTACTCTTGGGAGGGTGTATGTGTCCAGGAATTTATCAATTTCTTCTAGATTTTCTAGTATATGTGCATAGGGGTGTTTATAATATTCTCTGATGGTAGTTTGTATTTCTGTGGGATCAGTGGTGATATCCCCTTTATCATTTTTTTATTGTGTCTATTTGATTCTTATCTCTTTTCTTCTTTATTAGTCTTGCTAGCAGTCTATCAATTTTGTTGGTCTTTTCAAAAAACCAGCTCCTGGATTCATTGATTTCTTTGAAGGGTTTTTTTGTGTCTCTAGCTCTTTCAGTTCTGCTCTGATCTTAGTTATTTCTTGCTTTCTGCTAGCTTTTGAATGTGTTTGCTCTTGCTTCTCTAGTTCTTTCAATTGTGATATTAGGGTGTCGATTTTAGATCTTTCCTGCTTTCTTTTGTGGGCATTTAGTGCTATAAATTTCCCTCTACACACTGCTTTAAATGTGTCCCAGAGATTCTGGTATGTTGTGTCTCTGTTCTCATTGGCTTCAAAGAACATCTTTATTTCTGCCTTCGTTTTGTTATTTACCCAGTAGTCATTCAGGAGCAGGTTGTTCAGTTTCTATGTAGTTGTGTGGTTTTGAGTGAGTTTCTTAATCATGAGTTCTAATTTGATTGCACTGAGGTCTGAGAGACAGTTTGTTGTGATTTCTGTTCTTTTACATTGCTGAGGAGTGCTTTACTTCCAACTATGTGGTCAATTTTGGAATAAGTATGATGTGGTGCTAAGAAGAATGTATATTCTATTGATTTGGAGTGGAGAGTTCTGTAGATGTCTATTAGGTCCGCTTGGTGCAGAGCTGAGTTCAAGTCCTGAATATCCTTGTTAACTTTCTGTCTCGCTGATCTGTCTAATATTGACAGTGGGGTGTTAAAGTCTCCCATTATTATTGTGTCAGAATCTACGTCTCTTTTTACATCTCTCCAGACTTGCTTTATGAATCTGGGTGCTCCTGTATTGGGTGCATATATATTTAGGAGAGTTAGCTCTTCTTGTTGAATTGATCCCTTTACCATTATGCAATGGGCTTCTTTGTCTCTTTTGATCTTTGTTGGTTTCAAGTCTGTTTTATCAGAGACTAGGATTGCAACCCCTGCTTTTTATTTGTTTTCCATTTGCTTGGTAGATCTTCCTCCATCCCTTTATTTTGAGCCTACATGTGTCTCTGCATGTGAGATGGGTCTCTTCAATACAGCACAGTGATGGGTCTTGAATCTTTATCCAATTTGCCAGTCTGTGTCTTTTAATTGGGGCATTTAACCCATTTACATTTAAGGTTAATATTGTTATGTGTGAATTTGATCCTGTCATTATGATGTTAGCTGGTTATTTTGCCCGTTAGTTGATGCAGTTTCTTCCTAGCATTGATGGTCTTTACAATTTGGCATGTTTTTGCAGTGGCTGGTACAGGTTGCTCCTTTTCATGTTTAGTGCTTCCTTCAGGAGCTCTTGTAAGGCAGGCCTGGTGGTGACAAAATCTCTCAGCATTTGCTTGTCTGAAAGGATTTTATTTCTCCTTCACTTATGAAGCTTAGTTTGGCTGGATATGAAATTCTGGGTTGAAAATTCTTTCCTTTAAGAATGTTGAATATTGGCCCCCACTCTCTTCTGGTTGTCGGCTTTCTGCCGAGAGATCTGCTGTTAGTCTGAGGGGCTTCCCTTTATAGGTAACCCAACCTTTCTCTCTGGCTGCACTTCGCATTTTTTCCTTCATTTCAACCTTGGTGAATCTGACAATTATGTGTCTTGGGGTTGCTCTTCTCAAGAAGTATCTTTGTGGTGTTCTCTGTATTTCCTGAATTTGAATGTTGGCCTGCCTTGCTAGGTTGGGGAAGTGCTCCTGGATAATATCCTGAAGAGTGTTTTCCAGCTTGGTTCCATTCTCCCTGTCGCTTTCAGGTATACCAATCAAACATAGATTTGGTCTTTTCACATAGTCCCATATTTCTTGGAGGCTTTGTTTGTTTCTTTTTACTCATTTTTCTCTAAACTTCTCTCCTTCCTCCATTTCATTAATTTGATCTTCAATCGCTGATACCCTTTCTTCCACTTGATGGAATCGGCTACTGAAGCTTGTGCATGCGCCATGTAGTTCTCGTACCATGGTTTTCAGCTCCATCGGTCATTTAAGGTCTTCTCTACACTCTTCATTCTAGTTAGCCATTCGTCTGATCTTTTTTCAAGGTTTTTAGCTTCCTCGTGATGAGTTCGAACATCATCCTTTAGCTCGGAGAAGTTTGTTATTACCGACTTTCTGAAGCCTACTTTTGTCAACTCATCAAAGTCATTCTCTCTCCTGCTTTGTTCCGTTACTGGTGAGGAGCTGCGATCCTTTGGAGGAGAAGGGGCGCTCTGGTTTTTAGAATTTTAAGATTTTCTGCTCTGGTTTCTCCTCATCTTTGTGGTTTTATTTACCTTTGGTCTTTGATGATGGTGACCTACAGATGGGGTTTTGGTGTGGATGTCCTTCTTGTTGATGTTGATGCTATTCCTTTCTGTTTGTTAGTTTTCCTTCTAATAGTCAGGTCCCTCAGCTGCAGGTCCGTTGGATTTTGCTGGAGGTCCACTCCAGACCCTGTTTGCCTGGGTATCACCGGTGGAGGCTGCAGAACAGCAAATATTGCAGAACAGCAAATATTGCTGCCTGATCCTTCCTCTGGAAGCTTCGTCTCAGAGGGGCACCTGGCTGTATGAGGTGTCAGTCGGCCCCTACTGGGAGGTGTCTCCGAGTTAGGCTACATGGGGCTCAGGGACCCACTTGAGGAGTCAGTCTGTCCATTCTCAGAGCTCAAACACCATGCTAGGAGAACCACTGCTCTCTTCTGAGCTCAGCTGGAAATGCAGAAATCATCCATCTTCTGCATCGATCATGCTGGGAGCTGCAGACCACAGCTGTTCCTATTTGGCCATCTTGGGACGGACCCCCAAATAATACATATTTTTAAACTGGAAATACATTCCAGAAAAATCTTATAACTACTCACCAACCTTCCTGTGGGTAATCGAAATGAAACTGAACTGAGGTGAAATGTGTACATTAAATTATTCCATTATTGACATTCTGACCTTGCAGACTTAGCTTAATATAATTTCTGTTCAGACTAGCTCCTAGAACAGTGAAACCTACAGTCACATTTATACTTGACATAGTCAATTTGTCTATTGTAGGATGTTGAGTCACATATCCTTTTGAACTCTCTGAAGCCTCATTCTTTAATTTGCCCAACTTTCCTGTGAAGAGTAAAGATCCCTGCTGGCTAATGTTAATAAGCTTTCATTAAAAAAAGTATGATATAGTCTTCATGCTGTAAATAATTTTGCCTTTTTCATGACCAGATTTGTTCAATGCCATTTCCTCCCTTTCATTTCTTTCTTTTGTGGAGAAATAACGCCTTTCAGGAGCACAAGAGTTGATGAAAGAAAACACTCTCAAAGTCAAGTTTGCTGTAGCCTGTATACCTGAAAACGGTGGGCTTGAGAGGCCGGGAAGAGAAAGAAAGAAGAGGGATAGTAACAACCTAAACAGCAAAGACTTGGAACTTGAAATTAAAAAGATATACACCTATCTATGTATTTCTGATATGTTTGTCATAATTTCAACCAAAGTTCATGATCTATAGAATTTTGCATAAATAAAAAATATCATTTGGTTAGTTTTGACTCTCATTAAAAATAAATTTTGTCAACCATCCTCTTATTAAGATGTTTTAGAACTAAACACACAACACAATTATATCTCCACAAAATGCCACTAGGTTTCCTAACAGAGCATCAACCTACTTAGATTGTGAGCTCATCATTTTTATGCATGTGTTTACATAGATGCTTTTTTTTCTACAGGCAGCATGATATAGTGAAAAGAATGTGAGGTTCTGAAATTAGAAGAACTGGGCATGACTCCTAGAATGTACTATCTGTTGTGTGACCTTGGGCAAGTCACTTAATCTGTCTGAGGCTTGTTTTTCTTGCTTGTCAAATGAAAAATAAATGACAGCAATATTTCAGATTTGGTGTGCAGATCATGTAAATAATATATGCGAAAGTGCTTAGTAAATTGTAAAGCATCATGCAAAGGTTAGTTATTTTATTTTGGATTAACTAAAATTTTGTTCTAAATTGATGTTTCCCTAAATAAAACAAATGACTGCTAATGCCCATAGTAGCCCTGATTTTATCTAGAAATTTCTTTTTTAAAGTTTGAATTAGCAAACTTTCAATGGGTTTAGAATTTTTATTTAAAAAAGGATCATTATATACTTGAAATAATTCAATTAGGAAAAAATATAAGCCTCTGTCTTCATCCATTTTGTGTTGCTTTAACAGAATACCTGAGACTGGATAATTTATAAGGGAAAGAGGTTTATTTAGCTCACAGTTCTGCAGGCTGGGAAGCTTAAGGGCATGGTCCTGGCTTCTGGTGAGGGCATTTGTGCTGTGTCATAACATGGTGGAAAAGGTCAAAGGGGAGGTGGACATGTATGAAGAAACAAAACCTGAGGGGCATCCTCGCTTTATAAAAATGCACTCTCATAAGAACGAATCCATTTTCCTGAGAACTAATCCAATCTTGCCTGTGCAAGAACTCACTCACTACCTTGAAAATGACACCAAGTCATTCATGAGGGATCCGCCCCACTGACCCAAACAGCTCCCACTAGGCCCCACCACCCAATATCACCACAATGGGGATCAAATTTCAACATGCTCTTTGGTGGGGATAAACTCAAACCTCCTTTAAGAGAATCCCCTGGAAGCTGAATCACTTGATCCTTATGCTAAGTTTGTCTCATGACCAGATGAGAACCAATTTTGTCCCCCTGCAGAGTGGCCCCTTTAAGCTGTGGACTAATAAGTGAGAAAAATGTCTAAGTCAGGGCACATGCAGGCAGGGATAACTTACCCACTAGATGTAGCAGGCACAGGGCCAAGGGTCCACTATACCTTTAAATGTCCATAAAAATGTTTTAATTTCTTTTGAAATTGGAAGAAAAAAGTGAACTTTTAGGTAGGAGTAAATGTTTTAATATATAATATTAACATATTCATCCTTATACCAATGAGTCATAAAATATAACTTTTAATATTTGCTGTAGTTCTGGGCAACCCAAGATGAATCCTCTGAGAAGTTCAGTTACCTGCAGTCCAAGGCACTGTTCCTATAGCAGTGGTGTTGCCAGGAATCACAGATGTGGAGTGACTAGCTCTATCTTGAGAAATAGGGAAGACTTTGCAGAGCTGATATTTAAATCAGTCTTTTAAGGATAAGTATGCTTTCTACAGGTGGAGGTATTAGAAAGGGCATTTCAGGGAGAAAAAGCAGCATGAACTAAGGGATGGGGCTGTGTGGGAGACAGAGCCTTGGAACTTAGCAGTGATCGATAACCAACAATAGCCTCTTCACTATAAATCCATGGGGGAAAAGTCCATTACTTATATTGTCAAATCTTGCTATGTTTTCTCCATTAATCTTGCATTAAATTATTTTAGAACAAGACCTCAAAATTACACGAACATCTGCAGAAGTAACTAATGAATAAGCAGTGGGTTGTTCAAAGAGCTAATGAGATTAGATCGGATTAATAGAAATGTGTCAAGAACAAGGCAAAGTATTTGATATACTAGTTATTCTCTGGTTGCAAGCAACAGAAACCGATTCTAGCTAATTCAGACCGAAAAGAAAGAAACAGAGGGAAAAAAGAAAGGGAGATGCCCCTGATAACACATGATATTCTTTTCAAGGTCAGAAGTGGTTTTCCTGTTTTTCCACAGCTGAATCAGCTAGAACCTCCACCTAGAGGTTCTATTTTGTTCTGAAAGCACTGGACCAATTCCATCATTTGTCAGGACCTCTAAGTCAATACTCAGATTATTCAGCACCAAATATGCGAACTGATCCATGCTCCATATTCTTAGTAACCCTTGTGCCTTGCTAGAAGACTGATATGGATTTTGTGGTTAAATTCTAGAAACTGTACTTTATTCTGTTCCTAGAACTAAGTCCTCACATTTTAGCCTAGTTCTATGATCCTCTTTCCTTTGATCTATTTGTCTCTGCTCCACATGAACCATGTCTCTGCTTCTCATTTCCAAGGACCTGTGAGCAGGGCTGATATTTATGCCATATAGAATGGATTGGGCTGGTTATTTATATGGATATCTGTTCTGATGTATTGAGGCATTTTTTTGGTGAGCCATGGCATCTGTTCTGACTAGCTGATGCCTGTATATATCAGTGGTTAGATATTTCTCCAATAAATGAAGATTATTTTTGTGGTAAAATATTAGCTCTAGCCCCCTCTTAGGATGAGGCTAGAATTATGTGTCCACTAGAAAAATATTATTTTCAGAAGTGGATTTAATTTCTATCATTTAAAGGGCCAGTCATAAATGACTCTAATCAGAACTGTTGATTGATTAGACTTTCGTTATATGCAGACAAATATGCTCAGAGGCCAGATATAAGGGACAAAAGAACAAATTGGCCACATGCTGTGTCTGCAAGGAACTCACTATGTAGAAAGGACTTCTACTCCTGGATTTAGAACCATTCAGTTTTATATTTTTTGTTTTTAAAATTATGGAAGATTTCTCATTAATTTTTGAAATGCAGGTGACTAACTGATTTAAAAATACACTTAAGAGTATCACAATACCTTTGAAAGGTAATTGAATAGAACTTCAGAAAAATCCATTCAACTATTGTCTCAAATATCCATCCATCCATTCATCTATCCATCCATCCATCCATCCATCCATCCATCCGTCCGTCCGTCCACCCGTCCGTCTGTCCGTCTGTTCATCCATCCATCCTTCCATCCATCCATCCACTATCTCGTTGAATTTATCCATCTTCCAGGAGCTGTGCTTGCAAATAGAAAAAGACTGCCAAGAAGCTCACAGACGAGTACAGAAATGAACATACGAACAATTTCAACACCATTGTGGAGATAAGTTCACATGTGGATGAACTCAGGCAAGTTCCACAGGGGTCTAACAAAAACAATCTTAGACTCTGAGAACTGCAAATCTGGATTTGAATTCTCGCTCTACCCTTACTAAAGCTATGGCTTTGAGTGAGTTATTGAACATGTCTATTTCAATCTCCTCTTCTATTAGGTATGTTGTAGGGGCAAAGGGAAAACTTCCCTTTTACCCTCTGAAGGTTCATTGCAAATCACTGACAAAAGATAGATTAATAGGAGAAAAAGCATACAAATTTATTTGATCAGAGTTTGGATATGATACAGGAGCCTTCAGAATGAAGACCCAGAGATACAGGGGAAACTGTCCATTTTTCTGCTTAGGTTCAACATATTATGGATAGCCAAATAGAAATAGGATTGGACAAAAAGGATATGTTCCCCTGTTAATGGACTGAGTGGGGAAACTCAGGAAGACCTGTCTGTTCAGATTCTTCTTGGCATCCCTGTGCAGCATTCCTTCCCTCCGGATATGAGGCAGGACACTCTCTGGAGTGGAAGTTTTATGACCTACAATCAAACCAGGTAGGTCAGATAATTCTTTTATAACCAATTTTTACACAGAAAGGTAAAGGGAAAGGTAGAGTTAGATTTTTAGGTTTCATGACTGTTTGGGGGAAACAGGTTCTGATTTCTATGATCTGTCTTGGGGAAGAGGGATTCTAGCTTCTATGGCTTGCCTCAGGGAAGAATGAGGGGCCAGAAACAGAACAGTAGGAGAAAATCAGAGTGAGCTGCTTCTGAGGCCTTCACTTTGGGATATCATTTTCTGAGCCTCAACAGTGTATGATGTCACTTGCCTGACCATAATAGATGCCCATTATGTTAGCTACCATCTCTCTATCTCCTCTCTTCCCTTTCATTCATTTCTGGGCTTTGGTTTTCTTATCTCAAAAAAGAAAGGGTTTAAATTGATTTCTGAGTTATTTAAGAATCTAAAGCCTGTGTTTTAGGAACAATTCCCCTAAGCTTGAAAGATGTTCTTTCATTACTTATGGTCAAATATGCAATACTCTCTAAATATGGCAAATCATAATTTAATCACACTGATTGGTCTCTCTAACACACCAAGCTCTTTCTCACCTTGGGGACTTGGTGCATCTTGTTCCCTTGCTTGTAGATTTCCTTCCTCTTTGCTTACCTGGCTAGCTCCTGCCTGTCCTCCAGGTTTCAGTCTAGTGGTCACTTCCTGCTAGAGTTTGGATGTTTGTACCACCAAACCTCATGTTGAAATTTGATCCCTGATGTTGGAGGTGGGGCCTAATGTGTTTTGGTCATGGGGATGGATCCCTCTTGACTTGGTGACGTTCTTATGATAATGAGTGAGTTCTTGTTCTGTTAGTTCCAGTGGGAGCTGATCGTTAAGAGCCTGGCCCTTCCCCACTCGCTCTCTTGCTTCCTCTTTCACCATGTGATCTCTGCACACACCAGCTCCCCTTCACCTCCTGCCACGAGAGGACACAGCCTGAGGCTTTCACCAGATGCCCACTCTTCTAGCCAGCAGAATGGGGAGCCATCTAAACCTATTTTCTTTACAAATTACCAGCCTTCTGTATTCCTTTATAGCAACACAAATAGACTAAGGGACATCCCCAAGGATGCTTTCCACAGATAATTTCCAGAGGGCTAATCTGTGAATTTTCTTTGGTCTCTACACTCAGCCTGTCAAAATAGACACCATACTATAGCCATCCCCCACTTATAACACCCAACATTTAAGATCTGTAATATTCTAATGCATTTCCCTTTAAAAAGAGTAATGATAATGACTCCTCCAACCAGAGACCCTTATGGGGCCCAGTTTATGGTTTACTGTAGAGAAAGGGGATCTAACCATATTTCAATATCTAAATGCAAAATGCAGATACAAATTATTAATGACTAACATGTATAAATCATTTACTACACGCCTGGCACTATGCCAAGCATTGTATATGCATTATTTCACTTATTCTTTATATCAACTTTAAGAAATAAGTTTATGTGTAGCATAGGTTTGTAAATGAAGAAACAGTGACTTACAGAGTTTAAATTGTTTATTTAAACAGAAATAATTTGTTTCCTAGATATGAAGATCGTCAGAATAAAACAAAACAAGGCAAAAACCCACCAAAAATTCAAAGCAACAACCAAAACATTATAGGTTTAACAACAGCTTTACAGGGAGAGAAGGAAACATGACCTTATATGTGCACATTGTAAGACTGACTCTGATGTCAGAGGCATTAGAATTGAGGAGCAGCAGAGGCAAGTTTAAGCTCAGGACTGTCTGACTTCAGAACCAATATTTGTAAAATATTACTCTGTACTTTTCAGATTCAGAAAATCAGCCCTCAACTTAAGGATACCTGAGAGGCTGTGAGAAACTCAAGAAGCAAAGACAAATTTTTTGAGAACTTTGACAATGTGAAAATAAACCAAGGGACAGTCTAAGTGCAAAAACAAAACAATGACAAACCCCAAACAACCCAAAGCCATTACATTCAAACTTACCAGCAACATGAGATTTGCAACTTAAAAAAAATGAAGAAAATAGAGAATGTGTATTCATGTATGTCACTTTTTGTGATTTATTTCATTTAATCATAAGAATTTCATATGGTAAAAGCATTACATTATTATAATCCATATCTAACAGATGAGAAACTGAGGCACAGAACCTGCCTTAGGTCATATATTAATAAAAGGTAGAGTTTGTGTTAGACTTAGGGAAACTAATTCTAGAGTCCACAAATTATGGAATTGGTAGGAAATTCTATAATTTCCCAGATGCCAGCGATGCGACAACGTTTTCTAAATAATTAAATAAAATTCATCAAGAGAAACGTTCACTGTTGGAGCAGGTTTTTAACATGGGAGAATCTGCTCTGTTGTGGAAATGAGATCTCTCCAAACCTCTTATTTTCTACCAGATCTTAATTTTGCCAGCTTTAGTTTTGATAGTCCCAGTAATTTTGATAGTCCCAATAATTTTAGGAACAGAGCCCCATGAAGAGTGAAAGATAATTGCATCTGGTGACAAGCTCCCTGGTCCTTAGACTAAAATCTCTGTGGTCAGGCACTATGTTTTGTTTCTGATTGCATCAGTGTTTGGCATAGCCAAAGGACTCAATAAATAATTGCTGAATGAATGAATCATGTAAGACATTAAGCCTAAGACTGGGAGGCCGAGGCGGGTGGATCACGAGGTCAGGAAATCGAGACCATCCTGGCTAACACGGTGAAACCCCGTCTTTACTAAAAATACAAAAAAAATTAGCTGGGCGTGGTGGCGGGCGCCTGTAGTCCCAGCTACTCCGGTGGCTGAGGCAGGAGAATGGCGTGAACCCGGGAGGCGGAGCTTGCAGTGAGCCGAGATCGCGCCACTGCACTCCAGCCTGGGCGACAGAGCGAGACTCTGTCTCAAAAAAAAAAAAAAAAAAAGAAAGAAATTAAGCCTAAGAAATTTTACATTTAAACAAGAAAATGCATGTCATGAAGAATGTGATCTTTTCATCAGGCCACAGCCAGCCTCTACAGGGCCTTAGAAAAAGTGCTCTCCCTGGGTGGATAAATTAGGAGAAGACATACACTGGTCAGGTATACTCTCTCTGATTTGGCTTATCCACATTAGAGACCCATAGAGTCCAGCTAGGCAACTAGAACTTACATTTCCAACCTCATTTGATCTTTTGGTCAGGCATGTTTAAGCAGTGTGCAAATATACAACTGTATATGGTAATCTGGTTTACCTCATCTTCTCTTTGATTTTTTTTTTTTTGTAGGGTGACGGCAAATGTCCTCTTGTCTTTCTTAATCAAGACAGTACCAGTTCTGCCCAGCTTAAAAAGATATAAAAATAAAATGTTTGCATTCTATTGATTTATACCATATTCAACATCCATGTCAGTCTTTATTTTTCAAGGAGAGTATGTTAGATAGATTAGTTCCTTTCTTCTTTATATGGTAAGCTATAAATAAATTTTATAGGATCTTTTTAAATTTTGGAAACCAAAAAAAAAAAATTGAGCCCTGAACCTGTACATTTTAGTTTTTGGAACATTCTATAAATTTGTCTACTGCTTTCTTGTCTCATACTTCTCAGTTTGTGTAAGGTGTGTCACTAGAAAAACCAGGAGGCGGAGGTTGCAGT
Organism: Homo sapiens; assembly: GCF_000001405.40. Classification (NCBI taxonomy): domain Eukaryota; kingdom Metazoa; phylum Chordata; class Mammalia; order Primates; family Hominidae; genus Homo; species Homo sapiens. Next base: position 77,451,679 of record NC_000013.11, read on the forward strand.
GAGTGGAAATCGTACCATTGCACTCCATCCTGGTTGACAAGAGCAAGACTCCTTCTTAAAAAAAAAAAGAAAAAAAATTAGCTAAACCCAAAGTCTAAAAAATGTGAATTGCCTTTCTCTTTCAGATACTTGCAGGAATGTATACATGTGAACACACACAAACACATATACACACACATACAAACAAAACATATACACATATACATACAAACACACACATAGGCATACATACATATGTTGCTTTTCTGTGCTAAGTGGGAATTTAGGGGCAACCTGATTCATATCAAGAGATGAAGGAATTCTGTTGGACTTAGTGACTCTCTGAATAGCTTTGACTAATTGCAAATGATTATCATCATAATAATTTCCCAGGAAGAGTTTATTAAACTTAAATCTTAAAACTCCATTACATGTCACTTAGACACACACACACTCCAAAAATTTAGGAGTTAAATCAGCGTACCTTTCTTAAAACAAAAGCCTAATTAGAAACCTCTTGCCTCGATCATAGCTCTGCTACAGCATGCCTTTTAGGAGTGATAGAGTGATATTTTTATTTATTTTTAATAAGGACCACAAAACCACTTTCAAAAAAATTTTAGTCATTTTTAGTGAAAGAGAATGTTTCAATTTAGTTCACAAATCCTCACATTAGAACATTGGCTTCTTGTCCTCAAATGCATTTAAAAATATGATCTCTGCAATGAATCTCAATATCTGTTGTTGTTCCCTCTAGGCCTGAAGTTTCTCACTCATTAACCTGGAGCAACAAAATGGAAAGAATTCTGATGACAAAGTAGAGAACCTGTCCCTTTGCTGGCTCTGAGGATGACTGACTGTTGTGTGGGTGAGGTCTGCAGACAGAAGCCAGCTCTGCTCTCTCCATTGGTAAACATGGGTGGGAGCATGGGAAACTCCAAGAGGCCAACCCTTGTGAGTGTTAGTGAAAAACAGCAAAGTGTTAGGAAGAAAAGTGAGTCCTAACTCAGAACTGCAAATGCCCACCAATATTGGTTGCTCCCTGCCTTATTAGACATTTTCATTTGTAGCACCTTTAAAAGATATGATTTCCTAATGTCATGGCACTTTATTTTCTGGGTCATGTTGGCTTCGTGGTTAAGCAGGTGCAAACATTGAATTGGCCAGGTGAGCTGCCAGGATGACTGAAACACAGGGGGTTTGGATCATCTGGACAACAGGACTGAGTGGAAATTAATGGGCGAGGGTTTCAGAGATGAGACTTTGAATCCAAGCTTTGCATTTTACTGTAAGAGTTTGGGCAAGTTGTTTAACCTCCGAAAGGCTTTGTTTTCTTCATTTGCAATATCCCCTATCTTAAAGATTATAAAGTTATAAAGATTAAGTTAGATAATGCATAAAAAACAATTAGCACCAGTGCCCAGCAAATTTCTGTTGTTAAGAGGTAGTCCTACAGAATCTGTTTTTTTTTTTTTTTTTTTTTGGTCTGAAATTCCCTTCTCACAGGTTTACTTATTCCCCAGGAATAGCTGTAATGAATAAAACTTTGGAGACTTGAATTTGGGCACAATGCAATATATTGCCAGGGACATCTCCAAAATCAGCCTTAACATACCCTAACTTGTTTCCAAGGAACTTATCACTTAGCTAGATGTGTACTATAAATAATAATGATGATGATTACAGAAATAAAAATATTCATTGTTTCTATTCATTCAATGCAGACAACTTGCTGGGTGCTTTAAATATACACTTTAAAATACTTATAACAATGGCACATATTAAGTACCATTATTCACATTTTATAGAGAAAGCAGAGACAAGAGAGTAAGGAACATCTTGGAGGTCACACCACTAGGGATCAGACCTGGGATTCAAAACCAGATTTGCTTTACTCTGGAGCCTTTTTTTTTTCTACTACACCCTGCTATGCTCAGATGGGCTAGGAAATTTGTCCTAGGAATAAGTTTAGTAAACATCAACAGGTTCTTTTGTCTTTCTAGTGAATACCAAATATTTTGTTGCCTATTTCACAAATTCTGAGGGAATTCTACAAACTCTTCTTTGCTGGAATTCAGGATCCCTTTTGTTGATTAAATTATTATTTCCATTGATGTGGTTTTGAATTCAATCTAATAGCAACAAGGCACTGTCTTAACAAAGGATATGCTGTTGTTGGGTTTTTTTCCTGAGAGGGGGCTACTTTCATAACTTTTCAGTTAGGTGAATTTGGAGAATAGAATTATTAACATCAGTCCAGTCCATGCAGGGAGAAAGTTCTATTCTAGGAAATGGTCTTCTTCTAGTGGATCTAATGAGATTTAAAAAAAAGATTCTAAGAAAAGAAATCAATCATAATATTAGAAGAGTCGATCACAGCCTTAGGAGGACAGATCAAAGATGAACATGACATAAACAATTAGGAGGAAGACCCCTAACAATAAAGCTAGAGGTACCGGGAAAAATCACTGTAGAGGATCTAGCAGGGAAGCAAAGAAGGAAATGGTTAGATCCATTTATGGGAATTCAGGAAGTTCTTTGAAGAGCAAAAATCACTAAACTGAGTACTGAACAGTGAGTAATATGATTCCAAATAATGGAGTAGAGAAATGGAGTATACAGTGGAGTTAGAGCTTACATAAAAAGAAAGTGTCAGACAACCTGGAGATAGATCAATAGCAATTATTCAAGAGGGACACAAAACAGAAAATAATCAAAATAGTAGACCTGTTGTATGATGTTTTCCTACACCAACCAATTCTCTAAGTCTCCCATGCCAATCAGACATAATTCAATTCTGACACTATCCGGAATTAACATCAGATCCCATAAGTTAAAGGGCTCAGTTCCACAAGACTGCCCTCATTTCAGTTACCAGCTGTAAATGGGGTCCCTAGGCTACCCACACTTCTTCCTGGTCATCTACAAATTTAAGCATTTCCACGACCTCTTCTTCAGGTTTGATAGTTTGCTAGAATGACTTACAGAACTCAGGAAACAGAACTCCTGATGATTACTGGTTTATTATAAAGGATACAGCTCAGGACTATCCAAATGGAAAAGGTGCCTAGGACAAGGTATGGCAGGAGGGTGGTGGTGGTGACACAAAACTTCTCTCCCAGAACACTGATGTGTTCATCAACTGGAAGCTCTGTGAACTCTGTTGTTTAGGGATTTTTATCAGTTTAATTATGTAGGCACGATTGATTATATCATTGGTATTCATGGTCAAACTCCCTCTCCAGCCCCTCTCCACTCCCTCGAGGTTGAAATTTTTGGCCTTCTAACCAAGTAGGTTTTTTTTTTTTTTTTTTTAAGCAACCAGCCCCCTTTCTCCTTCAGTCATCTCATTAGCATACAAAAAACAGTTGTCACTCAGAAAATTCCAAGAGTTTTAGGACCTCTATGCCAGGAACCAGAGCAAAAGACCAAATATATATATATATATATTTCATTATACCACATCTATATCCAACCATATCAACAATTACGTTAAATGTTAAAAAATGTAGTCTGCCACTGCCACATGTGGTGATTTGAATTTAAATTAATTAAATATAAATATAGTAACTAAAAAAGCATTTTTAAAGTTATACTAAACACATTTTAAGTATTCAACAGCCACATGTGGATAGTGGTATAGTATTGGATAGTGCAGACATAGTACATTTTATCACAGAAAGTTGTACTAGACAATGTTAGAAACAAAATGTCAAAACAGATTTTAAAAAGCAAGACCGAATTATGTATTGTTTACAAGAAATACACTTTAACTATAAAGACCTAGAAAGATGTGCCATACAAACAGCATAAGAATGCTGGAATGACTATATTAATGTCAGATAAAACAGACTTCAAGACAAAGAGTATAACTGGAGATAAATAGGAATATTTCATAATGATAAAAGAATCAATTCACCAGGAAATCACAATAATTATACATGTTCATACATCTAATATCAGAGCTTCCAAGTACATGAAGCAAAAATGAGAGAATTAAAGATAAACACAAACAATTCCACAATCATATTTGGAGATTTTGATGCCACTCTCTCACTAATCCGTAGAACAACTAGATAAAGAAATCAGTAAGGACATACATTATGTGAGCAACACTATCAACCATCATAGCATAACTGGTACTTATAGAACACTGTACCCAACAACTACAAAATACATATGCTTTAAAAATGTACACAGTAGTTTTATTATGCTAGGCTATGATATGAGCTTCAGTAAATTTGAAATAATTAAGATCATACGGAGTGTCTTTTCCAATCATAACAGAATTAAATTAGGAATCAGTAACAATGGCATATCTAGGGAGACTCCTAATTTTAGAAATTAAACAACAGAATTCTAAATCATCCGTGGATCAAAAGAGTAACAGGCAAATTAGAAAATATTTCAAATTGAATGATAATAGAATAATAACATATCAAAATTTGTGGGATGCAGTAAAGGGCAGTACTTAACAGGGAAACTGAAATCTTTAAATGCTTATATGAGGCAAAAAGTAAGGTCTACAGTCAATGATTTAAGGTTCCAGTTTCAAAAGACAGAAAATGAGAAGTGAAGTGAAAATACATGGACAGAAGGAAATAAAGCCAAGAGCAGAAATCAAGAAAATTAAAGAAAAACAATAGGGAAATTTAACAAAGCCAAAGGTCAGGAAAGAAGCTGAGTGGACTGGGGTTGTGAACTGTGAGGACCAGTGGTCTGAGGGGAAAGAACATTGGACAATGTCATCATGTCTTTGTACAAAATGCTGGGGCATGTGAGGGGCCTTGTTCACACTGTCTTTCTGTCTATGTACAAATGGTGTTGCAAAATTGAAAATATTTGCATAATCTTATTTGTTCAAAATAGGGAAGTTCTATCCTTCCTTCCTTCCTTTCTTCCTTCCTTCTTTCCTTCTTTGCTTCCTTCGTTGCTTCCTTTCCTCCTTCCTCTTTGTATTTTTTTCAGACAGGGTCTTGCTCTATTGCCCAGGGAGTGGCAAAATCATAGCTCACTGCAGCCTCAAACTCTCAGGCTCAAGCAATCCTCCTGTCTCACCTTCCCAAGTAGCTGGGACTACAGATGTGTGCCCCCATGCCTGGCTGATTAAAAAATTTTTTTTTGTAGAGATGGGTCTTGTTATGTTGCTCAGGCTGTTTTCAAACTCCTGGCCTCAAGCGATTCTCCCACCTCAGCCTCCCAAAGTGTTGGGATTATAGCTGTGAGCCACCATGCCTGTCCTCTCGCCACCTTTCTATGCTTCCAGTCTCTCTTTGCCATTCATTGTTGACAAGAACCTCTACTTGATTTCTCACTGCCATTACCTTCTTTGGTTCCCAGCAATATACTAATCCATGTAGACTCCATTCAAGATGTATTGGTTTTAGGTCTGCATTTGCTCTTAATACAGGGTCTCAGGGTGAATATTGTCTAGATGAGAGGTTTACTTGTTTTTGTGTCAGTTTAACATAATGTTGAAATTTGCAAATGCCATGAATTTGTTGAATGAAAGAGATGTTGATCAAAGGGTAAAAAGTTTCAGTTACGCACAATGAATAAATTGTGGATTATCTAACAAATATCATGGTGACTAGTAATACTGTATTATATAATTAAAATTTGCTAAGAGTAAATCTTAAATGTTCTCATCACACACACACAAAGGTAACTATGTGAGGTGAGGGATATGTTAATTAGCTTAATTGTGGCAATCATTTCACAATTTATATATACATATATATATACACACATCAAAACTTCACATTGTTTACCTTAAATAGTTACAATTTTTATTTGTAAATTATACCTTAATAAAGCTAGAAAGAAAGTTATAATTTGGTCCATAGAAAATGGCAATTTGATCAATGAATTGTTTGGTGTCAGTTTCCATTTAAATTTGAATTTTTAGTTTAGTTTTTTTCCTCTTAAGTGACATTCAAAGAGAATCGGTAAAAGTTTAGATAGGGTACAAATGAACAATAGCATTTTATTCCTACGCCATTTGACCATAGCATTCTTTTGGTCCATTATGTTTTATCTTTTTTTTTAAAAATATGCCAAATATAATTTTAAAAAATTAATGGAGATTTGTGGTCCGCAATAAAAACTAGAAGATATAGGAGAACTTTGTTATACAGTAATTTGTGATGTATGTGGATTTACCTCTGACATAGGTCAAATATTATCCTCTGAAACCTAGCCACATTCAACAAAAAAGCCTCATCTAAGACAATCTTTGTTCAATCCACCAATATCAGCATTATCTAAAGGCTCTACTTTGTGGGAGATGGGATAAGAGAGCAGAAAGGACATGTGTTTGAGTCAGACAGATCTGGTTTCAAATGCCAGTTCTGCCACCTCGTATTTCTATAATCTTCATAAAGTCCCTTAATGGGTTTGGATGTTAATATTCTAAATACCTCCTTCACAAGGTCACAGTATGCTTTTGAGGAGATAATATATGTAAAGTGCCTAGAAAATAGGAGGCCCTCCTTGACCCTATCGTACAAGATACTGTGAATGATTGATAGCTTTCTGTGTTTTCAGGGAACCAGTGTGGCAGAGTGAAAAATAATAGGTTGGTGCAAACGTAATTGCTGGTTTTGCTGTTAAAATTAATAGCAAGGCCTTTGAAGTTGTGTAAAATCAGGTCTCACTCTCCTTTGCCATTTTTTTGGTGGTCTGACTTTAGGCATATTACTTAACCTCTTTGGGTTTCTGTTTCCTCATGAAGACAAAAAGAAAAGCTCTTCTATCTGCAGACACATGAGGAATTAGTGAGTTAAGATATATAAACATCTAGCACAATGCCTGGCATAGTAAATGCTCAGTTAAGAGCAGCCTCAGTTACAGTATGTTATTACTGTGGGATTAAGATTTATTTATTAAGATTTTTTTCAAAGTTCTTTTTATTTCCCTTTATGTTCAAATAATCAAAACCTCCCGGACTACAATTAACAATGCGAAGGCTCAGATTAATTTCTGAGATGAGTACTGGGTATTTCATTTCATTCCTGCCCCTGTTTATGAAGGAGCAGAAAAGCAAATCTCACAGTTCCACATGCTGCAGAGCAGAAAGATGGTCATCAGCTCCATGGAGGTGATTTTTCATGGCTCCAACAACCTAATCTTCATGATTGATGATTGCTGCTTTAAGACGTTTAATAGTTCCTTCCAAAAGAATTTGTATTTCAGATTATTGATTTCAAGTGAATTCCTCTGCTTTTCAATGCAACAGAATATATGATCAGTGAGGTACAGAGCAGAATCTATTTGATTAAAATTTCTTTAGCTGAATTTTCTTGTTGCTAGTAGCAACCAACCAAAGAATAGACCTAAAAGGACAGGCAAGAGCTACAATGATTGCAGTCCATGTTTTTATCTTTCCCTAGTTGTGATTTTAAAATAGCCTCTCTAGTGTTTGTAGTCATAAAAATGATTGCTGTATATGACACTTTAGACATATTGACAAACCATCCACCTAAATAACCCTATCTCATTAATGAACTTCTTCACAGGGCTTGGACAGTCAACCTCAGGTCACATAAACCATTGCTACACTAAAGACTATAAGGAAGATGATACTGTTTATATCACACAAATTATTTCCCAAATTAAATTTGCTATTAACTGGTATGTCTTGGATCAGCATAATATTATGTGTAGCAACAGCATTTACAGTTTGCATTAAAAAGAACTAGTTAGCATCACTTGTTTAAAAAAACTCCATGTTATCTGTTAAATAATTTGGTGGTTATTTAACAGATTACATGCAGTTTAGAGATATACTGGTATAGAGATATATGGAAATCACTAAAGGAGACTAAAAATATACTCTTGGCAGAGCTGTTCATAATACAGTGAAATTCTACTAGAGTGTTTTCCAAGGGCAAAAGAAGAACATCTCTGCAAGCAGGGAAATATTAACTTTACAGGAGCATAAAACACCTTTGGGATGTTTGTTGTGTCTTCCAAAATGGAGCTGGATTTGCAGAAAAAAAACCCCTCCGGATCAGCACATTGCATGATACAGTTTCATCCTTCCTCTGACACCTTGCTCATTTGCAAGTCAATAGAGAGAACCTCCTAGTACATGATTGATCTCTACATGCTATGATGCTGTTTGTCTGACTCCTGGGAATATTATGTTAGCGTGGACAGGATTTCCAGAGGGGTGGCCATTATCAAACTTACAATAAGACTCCTGCTGGTTGAGAAGGCTTTTTGGTGAGAATCATAGGTGCTCAATTGTATTTCTTGAGGCTAAGAAAAGGTCTCCATTCACTCAATGTTAAAAGACGGGATTCCTTAGGAGGAACACTTCAGGCTGCTAACAATTATGGCACAATTGCCTATCAGAATGTTTTCTAGTCAGCTGGGGATTAATGGAGCTTGTACTTCCAATGAGAGGAGACCCTTAGCAGCAAGATTTGACACAGGAAGCATGATGCAGGGACAGCCTCTGAGCTGGGAAAGGGACCAGGGCAAGGGAGGAAGCAAAGAGATCCTGGGAGGATCAAAAATATTTTGTCCACTACATATATTTTCCTGAGGCTGACACTCAAGAATTTTTCTAATTAAAAAAAAAGGGGGGATCTTAAATTTGGTCTAGCCAAAGCCACTAGGCACTGAAAGGAACAGTTCCCCTTTTGCCTTCCTTCTAAATGGTACAGGGTTGCAACACTCTGCTTGGCTCTGTGCTTACATTTGCCACAGGCGGGGAAGATCAGAACTCCCCAGCGATGTGTACTGGCCAGTGAGTGCTGCCAGGGCAAAGTTGATAAACTAAAGAAATGATGACTAAACAAACTATTAACCAAGTCCTAATCTCTGCTTGCCTCCTCCATCATTAGAACCAGAAGAAGATTAGAGCCCTGTGTGTCTCTAGGGCTCACACTGGGTATGCTATTTATTAAACCAGGAAACAGTTTGTTTCTGGGAAGAAAAATTTGGCTCAGGCTCTGATCATCAGGCATTCATTCATTTATTGAGCATGTACATTATCCAGCACTGCTCACTGTACCCTGTGAATGTCACAAGATCCCTGGCCTATTGGGAGCCTAAGAGGATATGTCCTCTAGCTCAGTTATTCCCAGCCATGATGTTTAATAAAATTCAATCCCACTTCTTTCATGAAATTGAAGTCCTTCCCATTTTCTCTTTGCACTTGGGACACCCACTGTCACTGTATTACCTGGATTTTCTCAAATTGTCTCAGCTAATTGGGAGTGATGGAAGCTCTGGATCTAGAGGCAGGGGATTCCCTTAGAAGATAAACTGCTTTTGGACTGGAGCTTTTATTTATTCTTTTTTTTTTTTTTTTTTTTTTTTTCAGAGTCTCACTCTTGTCACCCAGGCTGGAGTATAGTGGCGCAATCTCGGCTCACTGCAACCTCCACCTCCCGAGTTGAAGCAATTCTACTGCCTCAGCCTCCTGAGTAGCTGGGATTACAGATGCCCGCCACCACGCCCAGCTAATTTTTGTACTTTTAGTAGAGACGGGGTTTCGCCATATTGGCCAGGCTGGTCTCGAACTCCTGATCTCAGGTAATCCGCCTACCTCGGCCTCCCAAAGTGCTGGGATTACAGGCATGAGCCACCGTGCCCGACCGATTTATTCATTTTTAATTGAGTCTGAAAAATGTCATTGAAAATAGTTTCATTGGCATGGGTGAGAAATAAGAAAATCCTGGCTTCAAATAATTCAGTTTTGAGAATGTACAAACTTGACACAATGAAATGGTAATTTATGAAATTAAAGCTGCACCTCTCTGGAATAGTGATGTTCAAAGATGCTTAATGATTGGAGGGTACTTGAGGGCTGAGGAATTTTTGATGCTTCGTGACCGCAGGAACAATATTTTTCTTATTACTCCGTCACCTGGCACAAAATCAGCACTCAATATACATTTGCTGAAAGAATGAATGATTCATTTTTTATTTTGTAGTACTTTAGAGCCTACTTCTCTAGAGCCTATATTTATTTATGCATTGAATACTTATTAAATGCCTACTTTATGCTAGGTATTCTCCTGGGTCATGAGTATAGAAAAAAATGAATAAAATTTGATACATGCCCCCAAAGAAATTTCAGTCTGCTATTCGCAATGCTTTGATCTATAGATTGAGGCTATTTGTCTGCAGACTTTTTTCAGCTCATTCCTGGTAGAATTGAAAACAACTTTTTTCTTTATTTTTAAAAATTTGAATAACTAGTCTTCATAACATTTCTCCTCACAATAGTCCATTTCTACAAAATCTTTACAAGCCTTGAATTTTGAGAAACACCAATGTTTGTGTGAACTTGCTGAATTAGATTCACCCACAGCTGCCTTCCTTCCCTCCCCTACTTCTTCTTTCCTTTTACATTGACTATCCTCTAAATATGAATTGTGTGGCAATCCTTCCAATGTGATTATCATGACGTTATCGAGTATTGGGCGAGGGGTAGGGGCTATTATTCTGTTTATCATAGACCTACCTGGGCTCTTAAAAAATAAGTTCTTTATTTCTTTCCAGTTGAAATGGATTCTGACTCTCCAAATCTTGGCCCAAATACTGAGCTGATCTTTCCTGCCCTAATTCCAGTAGAATGGCACCTGACACAATACTTTTGTGGAAGAGTACATCACATGGTATATCAGAATGAATTCTTTATGTGTGTATTTGGGCAGGTCATATACATTTTAGTGAACTAAACATGAACTTGGTTTTGCAAAACGTCACCTTATATTTTGGCACTTTTACTAGTAGTGTCACACTGGCTGATTTTAGTAATGGTGTATGAATGTTATATAGTACACTAATATTTTCTAACTTTTTTCCTTATCTTTTGTACTTTTAACTTTTTCCAGAGAAACTAGAGGAAAGCTTTACAACATTCTATCTGGAATAGAAGGTGTGGGTTGCAATCATTGAGGTGATGTAATTACCACTATTCTTTTGAAGTGAATTTTAGACCAGGATAGTTTATAAGATACAGCAAATCATCAATAAACATTTAGTATGCCAGTCACTGTGAGTCTATAGGAATAAAATGTGCTCCTGCCCTTGAGGAATCCACAGTTTACTTAGAGAAAAAGGCATACACAGAAGAGATAATTAGCAGCCGGTGAGAGCAAGCATCATGCGAGAAAATTAAATAATGGGGATTCAAATCTTATTGGTAGATGACATTCAGACTTTAAACATTCAAGCAAAGATATTTCTTTGAAAACTGGAGGTGAATGTCACTTGCTTAAGTTCATATTTGGAACAAAGGAAATTCACAATTATAATACATGTTGAAATGAAATTTGTAATGTGGAAAATCTTTAAATTTACTTACGTATTTCTTCATGAGGTCATATTTAGAGATTTAGTGGCATTGGTGAATAGGAAATAATGTACAGAACATTTAAATGGCTATTTCAGAGATTAGAAAAGAAGTAAAAGCAATTAAAATATGTTTTCAGTGTTGGGACTTTTGTTCATATAAGACCATTGAGTGAACATGCCTAGTGAGTGTGAGGACATAGGTTTGTGGGGAAAGAAAGAACAGAATAGTTCTTGCTCTTTTGTTTTGTTTTTAGAGATAGGGTCTTGCTCTGTCGCCCAGGCTGCAGTGCAGTGGTGCAGCCACAGCTCACTGCCAGCCTTGACCTCCTGGGCTCAAGTGATCCTCTTGCCTCAGCCTTTTGAGTAGCCAGGACTACAAGTGTGCACCACCATGCTTGGTTAATTAAATTTTTTTTTTTTTTTTTTTTTTTTTTGTAGAAACAGGGTCTCACTATGCTGTGGTCAACGATAATTGCACTATTGCACTCCAGCCTGAGTGACAAAGCAAGACTTTGTCTCAAAAGAAAAAAAAGCTCTCCATGTGGATGTGGCCAAAGTTAAGTTGGGGCCATATTCAATGTGTTACAATTACTGGAGACAAAGCAGGAATGGAGATATTTAAGAACTATTACCTTAGGTCATGAGATTTGCATTCATTACCACCTTCACCTAAACCGCATTTTATTCCACTTGGAAGCAAGGTTGGTGGTTTCCGGCAGGCAATAAAATTCAATGACAGAAATTCCAATCTAATAAGTGACGGCTACCCAGCCTTTAAAATTGTACAAAGTCTTGCTTTGTCACTCAGGCTGGAGTGCAGTAGTGCAATTATCACTCACCACAGCATAGTGAGACCCTGTTTCTACAAAAATCGTACCTATATAACACCAAAATAACTTGCCTTAGATCTGTTTTGCTTAGGATTTATTATTCTGGCTTTAAAGTCTTTGTAGTCAAACTCATGCTGCAAATTAGCCAACAGTAAGTGCTGAAAAGAATCTAAAACAAAACTTAGATCAACCTTTTTATTTTAGAAATGAAAACTATAGAGATGAACTAGAGAGACAATGGAATACTGTCCTTTGGCTGAGTCCTGCTGAAACCTGGTGGTGACACACAGAAGCAGGTAATGATGAATCTGCATAACTAGGTCTTTGATTTGCTTAGGACATAAATGTCTGAATGACATGAACCCAGTAATATCAAATACTATTCCTTATGAAGAAAGATTAACTAAGTCTTTTGAAATTTGGGTAATAGACTAGTGCTTGCACAAGCTGAGTCAAAGATTCCAAAAGTTTTACCCTTAAACACATTTTGGGGAGTTGCTGTCCTTTCAAGCAAGAAACAATTTTTACCTTTAAAAATAGCTTCAATTGTTTATTAAGCTTATTTTTCTCATATCAGAAACTTATTTTCAAGGCAAGGACCTGCATTTAACATTGCACATGCCTTCAAAAAATTGAACGCATCGAAGGACACTAAAGCTGGGTGCATATAATTGACATGAAGAAAGCAGTTGAGGCCTCACAAAATTCCTGCTTGTGAACAAGTAGTTTTGTCTTAAATTTTCCAAATTAGTTGTCCTATTTACCAGGTTATTGTTCAATTTCCTACTTGCATTGCCTGGATCCACTCTCAGTATGGCAGAACTATAGTGACTGAAAATTTGGTCAGTGATCTGTTGTGGCCAGTCTATCAATTTGGTGAATGGCAAGAACCTGGGAGTGTTAGTACCTATACTATGCAAAGTGAGCTTTATGTTTTGCAGTGGCTGAGCCCTATAAACTCTGGTCATAACACATTAATTCCTTGTTAACATAGAGCCACTTTTTGACATCAAAATTTCCTCAATAGTGATTATATAGTCATAGGTTCTTAATTCACTTGGAGCTTTGATGTGTATGGTATCAAAAACTTAGTGTATAATATGGTCTATCATTAAATAAAAATTGGCATGGTAGAAAGCACAAATGGATGATAATTTAGACCTATGTTTGAAGTGTAACAAAGCATTAGTTTAAGAATTTTATAGAAATGTTATGTTTTTGCTCTTTAAAAAGAACCTGGGCAACTTATCTGCTTCAGCAACTTTTGGTTTTATGAATACCTTCCTTTACCCAACTCTCCCTTTCCATCCTTTCAGCACTTACTTACTCAAGTGAACTTGTGGATCTGTTTGTCATTTTTTTTTTTTCTGAGACAGAGTTTCACTCTTGTTGCCCAGGCTGGGGTGCAGTTGTGCGATCCTGGCTCATTGCAACTTCTGCCTCCCAGGTTCAAGTGATTGTCCTGTTTCAGCCTTGCAAGTGACTGGGATTACAGGCATTCGCCCCACACCCAGCTAATTTTTGTATTTTTAATAGAGATGGGGTTTCACCTTGTTGGCCAGGCTGGTCTCAAACTCCTGACCTCAGGTGATCTGCCCACCTCGGCCTCCCAAAGTGCAGGGATTACAGGTGTGAGCCACCATGCCTGGCCCTTGTAATGTGTTTCTACATCAACAGTTGTTATATTGGAGCTTGAGTTTTACAAGATATTTAATTTTTCCTTAAATTCTTTTGATAAAACAAGGATAATAATATTCACTGTGCATATTTATTTTACTGATGTACATAAATGTATGTAAAGTTTCTGCTGCTTAATAAGTGCTCAGGAAACTAATTAGGATGTGTGTTCATCCAGAGATATAATGGTGGTTTCTCTTTCTTTCTCTTTAGGGTGAATATTCAAGAAATACTGTTAAATCACAAACTACTCAGATGCAAACACAAGAGTGCATGCTGGAACTGGCTTATGAAACACAAGCCAGCTGGCTGCCCTAGAAAAAGTCTGAGGAAAAAGCCTTCTTCATCTAATTCATAAATGGGAAATTGAATTTCCAGGCTTAGCTGGCTTATTTTTATCTTCTTTTGTTTGTTTGAACTATGTATTGCTGAATAACTGTGACAACATTGAAAAGAGGGTTCATGAGTAAAGCAAGAGTTGATCTTTCACAAATCAGTGCTATAATCATTTCTATGGGAGAGGCTACAGATGATTCCATGCAGGGAGCACTCTGTATGAATGATGTGGCCTCAGGCTAGAACACTTGAAAAGCAGCAAAGGAAAACTTTCTGCCCAACTTATTAGAGGGGTGTGTGTGTGTGTGTGTGTGTGTATCTCACATGAATATATTATACATATGTATATATAACATATATATATATACACACACACACCACTGGTGTTTATTTTCACATGCTTTTTTATTTTTATTTTATTTTATTTTTAAAATAGAGACAGTGTCTTTCTCCGTCACCCAGGCTGGAATGCAGTGATGTAATCATGGCTCACTGAAGCCTCGAACTTGAACTCCTGGGCTCAAACGATCCTCCTGCCTTAGCCTCTTGAGTAGCTAGGACTATAGCCACATCCTACTAGGTCCAACTAATTTTAATTATTTTTTGTGTGTGGAGATGGTGGGGGCGGGGTGTCTCTCTATGTTTCCCAGGCTGGTCTTGAACTCCTGGCCTCCAGCAATCCTTCTGCCTTGAGCTCCCAAAGTGCTGGGATCATAGGCATGAGCCACCGTACCCAGCCTAGTTTCACACTTTTATACACTCTCCCAAGTATCACAGGGCTGGAAGCACTTTGATTTTGGTGTATTGGGTATAATTTATGTTCTGTCAATGAAATGCAATCATGCAATATTCCAAAGGCAGAATAGAGGCTCAGAGAACCCATATGTTAAAAAAAATTATTCCTTTGACAGATAAATAACACTTTTTCTAATTTATTGATTTTGTAAATTTGGAATTGTGAAGAATCTCCCCTCCCCCAAGAAAAACCTGTTTGTTCAGCATTCCTTGCAATGATTGAATCCTTTACCAGACAAACAAGATGAATGAATTATCTTTTCTTCTTTTCCTTTGGCTTACTTTTTCTGTGACATTGTTTGAGAGACTGAGCACAGTATTTTGAAACAGATGACAGGGTTGTCACCTTTGAGTGGCACAAATTTAGTAGCAACAGTAGGGCGTTTTATGACAATTTCTTTACAGTATGAAATCCAAAAGTTATTCTCTGTGCCTTCATGAGGAAATGACATTGAGTGGCAATATTTAAGATGGTGATTGGGAGGAAAGGCGAGTGTGAGAAGGGCAGCCTAATTTTCATGAAATGAAACAGCCCTAGACTTGCAAAATGATAATCGTATTACTGAACAATGTGATGATTCTCTCACATGAATTGTTCACTTCCAGGAGGCATTCAATCAGGCAAGCTATCAAGAAGATCTGGCCTTTGATAAACACATCCACTTTAATAGCAGTTCCCGAGATGAAATGTTTGGATTTATGGCACCCAATCACTGCAGCTTGAAAATATGAAATAACTTGCTAGTGAACTGCCATGAAAACCATTACATTATGCTAGGGTCTTCCTTTTAGTAAGATATGGGATGTTATTAATTGATTAATCTCCCTCCCTATTCTTAAAAATGATTTAAGGAGGGTGGCCATTTGCTACGATGGAAAAGTACGGCTTCCTGGTCTGATATAAAATGAGAAATTGCCCAAGATGAGCTCTAAGATGTCTTCTACATAACATCTTCTATGATACAATTTTTGGGAGTCTGTCCTTCAAAACTTCATTACAAGGGGTCATATTAAGATGAACTCTTAATAATAAGCCTCCTTATGTGGGGCTCACAGAGACCTAGATTCGTCCTAGAATCCACTGGGATTTGAACTGTCATGATTCTGAAGCTTACATGGATCCACAGAGTTGATGTCAACTTAATTCCTTGGAAAATTAGGAGACAAAGATTTGTTCTCTGTTCTTATTCCTAACTTGGTGAGTTCCACTAATGGTTGCTACCTTTCAGAGGCACAGACTTTGTAATAACAGGGGATGGCGCATTACAATTTCTATGTTACACAAATTCTAAAATTAAGTTTAGTGATTGGGAGGGAAGGTGATTGAGAAAAGTATACTTTTCAACTAATGAAACAACATTTAACTTCTGAGAAGGTACTTGTTGTATTACTTAGCAATGTGGAGTTTCATCCCAGGCTGAATAGATTTCAAGGCAAACGGTGTCAGTTATAATAATGCTGAGAATTTTTTCTGGCCAATGTTATATAAGAAAAGGTTTTATTAAAGAAAGTTTAAGCAGCATGATTCATAACAGCCAAAAAGCGGAAGCAACCCAAGTGTCCACAGCCAGATCAATGAATAAACAAAATGTGTTATATCCATAAGATGAAATATTTTTCAGCCTTAAAAGGAAGGAAATTCTGACACATGTTGAAATGCTACAACATGAATGAAACTTGAAGGCATGCAATGTGAAACCAGACACAAAAGGACAAATACTATATAATTTCATTGATTTGAGGTACCTAGAATAGTGAAATTCATAGAGATAGAAAGTAGAATGGAGGTGGCCATGGGTTTGGGGAGTGGGGAATGGGGAGTTATTGTTTAAAGGCTACAGAGTTGCAGTTTGGAAAGATGAAAAAGTTCTTCCCAAAGTTTTGGGATGGTGGATAGTGGTGATGAATGTACTAAAAGCCACAAAACCACACACTTACAAATGGTTAAAATGGCAAATTATATATGTTACACATATTTCACCACAAGTATAATACTAAATTTAAAAAGAACAGAAAGAGTTTAAAATGACTTCAACTACATCTTCATATTTATTCCTTTTCCTAATTTAAGAGGGAAATAATTTCAGTTCCCCAGAGTTCTGTGTTTCTGGTATTTTAATGTGGAATAAAATGTTACCAACTCGTTTTTGCTTCTATTAAGATCTCGCTCTTGGTAGGCCACTGGCTTTGAGAAACATCTTGTGTCTTTGAATTCAGATAAAATAGAGTTACAGCTAATTACATCTTGGATTTGTTTTACAATTACAAATATAGAAGGTAGATGAAGAAAAATTATGTTCCAATCTTTGAAAACTGCCATTTGGAAGATTGTCTACATGATGGTTTACATTAAAGGTGCAATATTAGCATGGCTTTTTATTACTAAATATATTTTAAAATATACATTTGGGCATTAACTTTAAGATACTTATAAAATATTTTCTTATTTGCTAAAGCGAATCCCTTTGATTTATAATATACTTCTTGTCCATTTATAAATATTTAATGAAACCTTACTCTTTTTTTTGCTTTTTATGGTGCATAAAATAGATTGATAGTGTCTCAAAAGTTTTTTTATTTTTCCATTTTCTGTTATAAAAATAATCATGAATACCTTTATGTGTCAAAATTTCAAGCCAATACTACTGAAGTGAGAATAATTTTTCTACTTTTTAAAAGAAAAGTCACAATCGTCTGTCAAGTGTTTTAAAATTCAGATTCTCATTCAAAAATTTGCATGAGATTTATTTTAAAACAGTTTTTTTTCTTCCCAAGATGATAGTAAAAGATAGGAGAGAAAAGAAAGAAAAGATGGTAAAAGATGATGGTAAAAGACACGGCTTGACGCACCTACACATACGCTGATAGACTATAGAGCACCTTAATTTTTTTCCCTTTTTGATCTCCTCACCTTTTTTTTTTTTTTTTTGAGATAGAGTCTCACTCTGTCACCCAGGCTGGAGTACAGCAGCGCGATCTCGGCTCACTGCAACCTCCGCTTCCCGGGTTCAAGGGATTCTTCTGCCTCAGTCTCCTGAGTAGCTGGGACTACAGGCATGCACCACCATGCTCGGCTAACTTTTTGTATTTTTAGTAGAGACAGGGTTTCACCGTGTTAGCCAGGATGGTTTTGATCTCCTAACCATGTGATCTGCCTGCCTCCTAACCTTGTGATCCGCCTGCCTCAGCCTCCCAAAGTGCTGGGATTACAGGCGTGAGCTACTGCGCCCAGCCTTGATCCCCTTTTTATGATTAATCTGTTATTACGTGAGTTTTGAGATAAATTTTCATAAATGCTTAATTTTTCATACATAAAATGATTAAAATAATTCTTACAAAGAATAGTAAGTAAGTAATTTTTAATAAGTATTTTTAACATTGTGTTGAGGTTAAAGAAGAAGGCATATACAACATAAGCACACACTCATATGGAAGTTTCAGGAAAGTAATAAGCAGAGAAGTCCTGTAAGTCATGAGTTGGGGCAGGGGCAGGGATTGGAAAGGCTGAACTTTTATTGTTAAATATACCTTGGGCAGTAGTGACCTTGGCTTTGGGCAAGATTCCTTAATTTTATTTTATTCCCAAATCTGTTGCAAAATGGAGAGTTCGCAGGAGGTGGTTATTTCGGTGAGAATGAATTTCATGGTGGAACGGTCATGTGACTGGAGTCCATCAAGGGTCAGTTGTTTCCTTGTGAGTGGTTTGACTTCCCTTTGGGTCAGCCTGAGTGAATGTCAGGTGCTTTTTCACATGGTGAAAGTGAGCTCTTCTGTAGCCACCTCTGAAGAAAGCTGGCCACTATGGAGCAGGGGGCAGAGGGGTAAAGAGCTCCTCAATTCTTTGCGGGCAATTCCCAAATCCAAACTCCTCTGAAAACTCAAAGACTTTGTTTTTTTAACTTCATTGGCGATAGTATTGGACCCAACCTGATGTGGGACTATTTGTAGATTTAACTGAAAATGTTAATATTAGTGTTTGATTATAGGTGCTACCCAGGCCCTGTATGACATCCCATGTGATTTTCCACCATATTATTCTAAAAGTCAGAATGCTCCTGAATTCCCAAACACCTTTGATCAGGAAAGATCTCAATATTATGCTAAAAGACCCCCTCAGTTGAGGATGAGGATACAAACAATCTGTCTTCACCTACTGGATAGGATGAAATTAGTCAAAAGGGTGAAGGAGAAAAGAGACTTGTCTAGCTACCCTACTGCAACGTTATAGATAGAGATCCAGAGGTCACAGTCCCCTTACCTGCTCAAGGCCCTGTGACTCAAAAAAGAGAAAAGTAGGATTCTAGTCTGTCTATTTATCCCTTGATAAAAGCATCAGTTCTAGGCCTGCGGTAGTCTCTAGGATGCTTCGGACAAAGCAATTTCCCTAGCTCTGTAAGTGAGACTATTAGCAAACTGAGGTCTCAGGGTTGGGTGATATATGTGGAAGGAGACTGTGAATCTTTTGGAGACCGTGAGCGATGTTAAATCAAAATTTTCACTGCCACGGCATTTCACCATTGTGAAATGTCATTTTCTTAGACAATTAGGTCTCCAAATTCTGCCAAAGGCCACTTAGTCTTTCCTTTCTCTTCTAGGAAGGAATGTGCCTAAATTTTCCCAGAATAATGGGTGTTTCCTTCAGAGAAATAGATTGCTCAACCTGGCTCAGTGGCAGCCAAATCCAGAGAATAACAAAATTTAGGGCAGAATTTTTTTTTCATATCATACCAAGAGTACTGTATAGAAATCCAAGGTACTGCATGATGGTCTGTGCTTAACTATGACAAAAAAAAAAAAAAAAAAAGGGACTCAGAGGTTGCTATTGCTTAGTTATAACGGTGACAAACCCCTTAAGACTTTGATCAGACACTCAGGTAGTAACTTGTGGCATAACTATGGAGCATCGCCTGGGAAAGAATGGGAAACTACTTCCCTGACCAGTCTTTTAGCTTGTTTCCAGTTTAGGAGACTATAATGCAAACTGTCTATGCAAAACCAGGAATAACCTAGCTCTTTTAAGAGAGATCTGAGGCTGAGGGAATGAAATACTTAAATGATTAGATAATTAATGATTAAATGCTGCTGGATCCAAGATTGGTGCTTTCTACTATTTCCTCTTTGTTCCTGGGCAGGACCTGAAGGTCCCTTGCAAAACCTCCAGATTGCCTTAAAGAATCTCTCCAAGCCTTGCTACCTACCTGCATTCTATACCTCCTTCTCCTTCTTCTCATGTCCCTGCCTCTTTCTCCCCCATTCCTTTATACCTGGGTTGTTTCTTCCTACTCAGCCCTTTAGTTAGTTGTCTTATTAAGTTGTATTTTTTTCTGGGTCTCTACTCGTTTGTTAAGAGCAGTTGATCACCCTCAGTAGTGACTGACTAGAGGAACACTCTCCATGTTGGTTTCTGGCACAGAGTTTGTGCTCACTGAATGTGTTTCAAATTGAATATTCACAGTATCTCCGCCACAGCTATCTCTCTTTAGTCTGGCATTTCGTGGACGAGTGATGAGGAGAAACCAGCAGGTTTCTACATTCACACAAATTCTCAGCCACTTGGTTTTTCCCTTCCAGCTTGAATCATGAAGAGCTTCAGAATAACATTGGTTTTCTCAGACTGGTGTATTAGCTGGGACAGACCAACTACTATCACATAGAATTTCAAAATTTCAAAGTTTAAAATTGGAATTAAAACTCCAAAATAAAACTTAATTTGTCACGTGTTTTGCAGGCCTAGCCTAGTTGGCTGACCAGTGGACAGCTTTCCTCCAGGCAGCAATTCAGCCTCTAGATCCTTAGACTTCTCCATTCATTGGGTGCAAAGGGAAATAAGAGAGAAAGAATTGTGGGCAGGAGGACGTCATAGACCAGGCCTGGAGGTTGGACCCATCACTTCTATTTAGGTTCCATTGACCAATACCCAGTCACAGGCCACATCCAACTGGAAAGACAACTATGATATATTGCCCACCAGTATACTTGGAAGAAAGGCAAAGTGGTTTGGTGAACCACTAACTGGTTGCTGGCACAGATGTCGTGGATGAATATCTGTTTTTAGTAATCAAATGATTGCTAAAATGTTAAGAAAAAACATGGTAGCCTTAAAGAGTATATAGAAAGTCCTCAGCGATTCTTACAGTTGGGAAACCATTACATTTTGATATATTGAGTTATGGAAATGAAGTTGAATATATAAAAGTATATTAAAGCTTAAAATATACATGGTTGATATACCAGAATTATGTCTGCCAATATGTTAAATGTTTTCCATGACAAAGGAATTTATGGTATTACAGCATATATTGAAGACAGTTCAGTTACATTTTTGCCATTTTTGCAGGATGTTTGACCCCTTCCTATTTCTCTTTTCATCTTTCAAAAGAAGAAAAGCTGCTTTATTTTATACGCTTACATGTATAATCACGAAAAAACAAATGCAGAAATGAAGGAGAAAGGAGGAAGCAATAAAGGAAGAAGGAAAAGAAGGAAAGAAGAAAAGAACAAAGGAAAAAACACACTAAAGACAGCACCATCATACTTATTTTTGTAACCATTTTGGTGTTATTTTGTAGTAATTGATTGCATTAAATTTTGAGGGTTTTTTTTTGCCCCAACTGTGAAGAAATAAACAAGCAGAATTGCATTTCATTGTTCGTTTTGGCATTGAGTTTAATTGTTTTCCTTTTCTTTTAGTTATATTAGCTCATCCCTCCATTCATCAGCACTCACTGCAGGCAGGATTCACTCCCAGTACAGGAGTACTATGGGTTTCTGGTGAAATGCACATTAAAAATAATCAAAGTGCAAGCAGTTTCACAAACACTGTAACATGGAGGAGTTTCCGAAGAACGGCAGAGCCTGGAAAGAATAAGTAGGAACATAGCTACAAACCAGACAAGAGATCAAAGAAATCAACTTCTTCCTAAAACAACCAACTTTACAAAATTATCATCATGGGAGCTGCATGGACAATTCAAATGGCATTATTGAGGGTGAAGATGGAGAGACAGAAAGGGCTCAGAATGGAACGACAAATGGCCTGCATTAGCAGTCTGCCTATATTCAAGAAACTAAGCTTAATGTTTTTCCACCTAGTCCGTCTGTCCGTCCGTCCTTCCTTCCCCCACTTCCTTCCTTTTGTATATAGCATCTTCAATGTGAGAGATGCCTTGTTGAGGAATATCAGTTAACATTGTCCAGTGGTGTTCAAGAACCTCAAGGCTGACTGTCATTGGCAAAGAGGCTGAACAGCTGGCACATCAGGCAGGGGTAGGTTGTGTCAGCACAGACACTATGAATGAGTGGAAGCCCTGGGTTTTGCCTCTGGATCATGGATTGGAGTGTATTATAATCAAGGTGCTCAGGTAAGAGTGTTGGGTGACCCCCATCTGTTGCTTACCTTCCGCATTGCAATCTCATTCATTCAGTCCACTTTTATTCAGTTACTGTTGAGCAAGATAGTCCTGGTCAATTGAAAAATGTGTGAGGCATGCCTATGACCTGCAGTGAATCCATGAGTCGGTAACAACTTCAATTCTTGCCTCCTTAGAAGAAAGAATTCCACTGAGAGGCATAAGGCAAAAGGAGCAACTAAGTTTTTTTTTTTTTTTTTTTTTTGAGACGGAGTCTCCCTCTATCGCCGGGGCTGGAGTGCAGCAGCGCGATCTCGGCTCACTGCAACTTCCACTTCCCGGGTTCAAGCGATTCCCTTGCCTCAGTCTCCTGCATAGCTGGGACTACAGGCGTGTGCCACCACGCCCAGTTAATTTTTTGTATTTTTAGTAAAGTTGGCGTTTCACCATGTTAGCCAGGATGGTCTCGAACTCCTGACCTCATGATCCACCCGCCTCAGCCTCCCAAAGTGCTGGTGTGTCCGGAATTGGTGGGTTCTTGGTCTCACTGACTTCAAGAATGAAGCCGTGGACCCTTGGGGTGAGTGTTACAGTTCTTAAAGGTGGCGTATCCAGAGTTTGTTCCTTCTGATGTTCAGATGTGTTCAGAGTTTCTTCCTTTTGGTGGGTTCCTGGTCTCACTGGCTCAGGAATGAAGCTGCAAACCTTCACAGTGAGTGTTACAACTCTTAAGGCAGCGCGTCTGGAGTTGCTCATTCCTCCTGGTGGGTTCGTGGTCTCCCTGGCTTCAGGAGTGAAGCTGCAGACCTTCGCCGTGAGTGTTGCAGCTCGTAGAGGCAGTGTGGACTCAAAGAGTGAGCAGCAGCAAAATTTATTGCAAAGACCAAAAGAACACAGTTTCCACAGCATGGAAGTGCACCCCAGCGGGTTGCCACTAGTGGCACAAGCAGCCTGCTTTTATTCTCTTATCTGGCCCCACCCACATCCTGCTGATTGGTCCATTTTACAGAGAGCTGATTGGTCCATTTTACAGAGAGCTGATTGGTCCGTTTTGACAGGATGCTGATTGGTGCGTTTACAATCCCTGAGCTAGACGCAAAAGTTCTCCACGTCCCCACTAAATTAGCTAGATACAGAGTGCCCACACAAAGGTTCTCAAAGTCCCCACCAGAGTAGCTAGATACAGAGTGTCGATTGGTGCATTCACAAACCCTGAGCTAGACACAGGGTGCTGATTGGTGTGTTTACAAACCTTGAGCTAGATACAGAGTGCCAATTGGTGTATTTACAATCCCTTAGCTGGACATAAAGGTTCTCCAAGTCCCCACCAGGGTAGCTAGATACAGAGTGTGGACTGGTGCCTTCACAAACCCTGAGCTAGACACAGGGTACTGATTGGTGTATTTACAATCCCTTATCTAGACATAAAGGTTCTCCAAGTCCCCACCAGACTCAGGAGCCCGGCTGGCTTCACCCAGTGGATCCCGCACAGGGGCCGCATGTGGAGCTGCCTATCAGTCCCAGGCCGTGCGCCGGCACTCCTCAGCCCTTGGGTGGTGGATGGGACTGGGCGCTGTGGAACAGGGGGCGGCGCTCCTCGGGGAGGCTCGGGCCGCGCAGGAGCCCACGAAGTGCGGGGGAGGCTCAGGCATGGCGGCGGGCTGCAGGTCTCCAGCCCTGCCCGGCGGGAAGGCATCTAAGGCCCGGCGAGAAATTCAGCACAGCAGCTACTGGCCCAGGTGCTAAGCCTCTCACTGCCCCGGCCCGCTGGCCGGCGGGCAGCTCCGAGTGCAGGGCCTCCCGAGCCCACGCCCACCCGGAACTCGCGCTGGCCCACAAGCACCGCGTGCAGCCCCGGTTCCCGCCCCCACCTTTCCCTCCACACCTCCCGGCAAGCTGAGGGAGCCGCCTCCGGCCTTGGCCAGCCCAGAAAGTGGCTCCCACAGTGCAGCAGCGGGTTGAAGGGCTCCTCAAGCGCGGCCAGAGTGGGCGCCAAGGCTGAGGAGGCGCCAAGAGCGAGCAAGGGCTGTGAGGGCTGCCAGCATGCTGTTACCTCTCACTGGGATTACAGGCATGAGCCACCGCGCCCGGCCTGAGGTAAGTTTTAGAGCAGGAGTGAAAGTTTATTAAAAAGCTTTAGAGGAGAAACAAAAGAAAGTAAAGGACACTTGGAAGAGAGCCAAGTGGGCAACATGAGAGATCAAGCGTGTGGTTGACTTTTGACTTAGGTTTTTATATGTTGGCACACTTCCAGCGTCTTGTGTCCCTTCTCACATGATTCTTCCCTTAGGGAAGGCTGTTGGCATGCGCAGTGGCCTGCTAGCGCTTGGGAGGTGAGCATGCACGGTGTGTTTACTGGAGTTATATGCATGCTTACTTGAGGCATTCTTCCCTTAGCAGTTGATTGCCCCTAGAACCCTAGAGGGTCATATACCAGTTAAACTCCACCATTTTGCTTCTTAATGCACATGCTTGAGCCCACTTACCCAGCCCCTGAGATCTTACTGAGAAGCTACTGATCACCAGTTCCAGGTTTTTTCTTTATATTGGAAGACTGCCTTTCCCTGGCACTGGCTGCAACCAATTATTATTTTAGAGAGACAGTTAACAACCACCTGACCATCACCTAATGATCACCTGACATTACTGGTTGGTAGGTGGGGAGCCCTCTCCTGCTCTGCTCATGCCTGACTAGCTACCTATGTAACATGACCACACTCTTTAGGAATGTACAATAATTATAATATGAAATGGTCAGGGCCATCTGTAAGGTAGTTAGAAACCATGAGGGTACACATCTCTCTTCTGGGAAGAGTAAGGAAGCTTCAGAGAGAAATTCCTAGAATCTATTCCACTGCACATTTTGACAGGGCCCCAAAGCATCCCAGACTTGCAGGCACTTTAGAATCAGAACTTTTACCCTTGCATATGACTGATTTATTTTACAATGTGTCCTGGAAGTAAGATAG
This sequence comes from Homo sapiens, assembly GCF_000001405.40. Lineage (NCBI taxonomy): Eukaryota > Metazoa > Chordata > Mammalia > Primates > Hominidae > Homo > Homo sapiens. The sequence goes on from NC_000013.11 coordinate 77,476,930, forward strand.
TATAGTCTAGGTTCTTTCCCTGCAGTAACTGGACCAGGTATACAAAACCTCTTTGGTACTCAGAACCATTATAGCTTATGAAGACTTCTTCAGGAATATTAGAATTGCTAATTCGGGTTCTCTTGTCTCTTACAGTAAGTAGAATGACCCCAGTGAATCCAAGTGGCCAAATATTTTAGGCTTGTCTGATTCTACTGCTTCCATGCAAATCTTGTATGGAAGTGGGGGAAAAAGGCAAATCCAGGGTCACACAGATTATTAGAAAAGAGGTTAGAATAAAATGTGGTCACAAAAATCCTCATCGGATTCTTACAGTAGATCATATGATTTGCTTTTCTGTGTGCCTATATGAAAAATATGTACTTATTGACAAAAATATATGAGTAAATATGTTCAATAAATCAATCGCAGCTATGTTTTAGATAGATGATTGGAGAAACTGTCATGGACCTAAGAATCACACTTTTTCTCTTTACTGTCAACAAGTTAGGATGAATCATTTTACTCTGAAGAATAAGGATATGGTTATTTCTCATCATCGTTCAAGCTTGAGTGTGTTCAAGCTTGAGTGTGTCTAAGAGCCTTTTCCTTCAAGGAGCCAGCATGCCATCCACGGAACTCACAACACTGGTTGCCAGAGTTCTCTGCTTTAGAAAATAAAAGTGGGTTGGCTATGACTTCTGTGCTTATTCACTACACCTATGCCTAGAGTCCCTAAAGATTCTTTGGTTGCTTTTGACAATTGCAAATTGTATCTACAGCCACATTTCCATAGTCAATTCAGTGGTAGCTGATTTGAGAACTGCTTCTTGATGTACTAGCACAGTATAGAGATTTTTCTACTTTGAAATGGCTAAAAGCAAAATTATAGGCTGGAAATATGGAAAATATTGTATGATGCAGAGGACCTTAAAATGCTTTCTAGCTTTAAGGTCTAAGATTCTGCAGAGTGCTTAGAATTAATTCTTGATTGTACCCTCCCTACCTCCAGCCCAATTCTCTTTTTGCAAGGATTTTTAAAGAATCAGAGCTGAATGTTTCAATGTCTGTCACCATTTTATCTGCATTTTCACAAGCATTTTAGCGATCATGTGAGTCATTTCTTTCTCACCTCCCACAAATAGCGTGGGTTAAATGGAGCTGTGGGAATTTTTTTTTAAAGTAATAATTCTGACTTCACAATCTTTTAAAAAGACATTGCTTGCATTAAACAGACACACACACACACACACACACACACACACACACACTCAGCAAACAACCTACCAATACTGTTGCTTTTGAATGTTCTGTAAGGTCGAATGCCAATGATTTGTGTTTTGTTGTGTTACGGTTGCCCAGCCTCCTTGATCTATTGTAGGCAGGGTTAAATTACAGAGTGAATTGGGGGACTGACCTCATTACATCATCTGTGCTGAATCACTGTCCTACAACTGTCGTCCTGAAGGCTCGGGCCAGACGTGGTAGTGCTGTCTTTCATTAATGTTACATTAATATGATCAAGAAGATACTTTCTTCTCTTGCTTCTACCCCCACCCCCACCCCTCAGGTCTCTCATTTGCTAAACAATCAAATGCTTTCAAAATCCTGCAAAACAGCTTTCATTTTAAGGTTCTGATCAAAGGACTTGCATTGCAACATCCCCAGTATTTTCACTGCCCTCTAGTGGCTGTTTTCAATTACATTTTGTTTTACAAAGAGGATTGTATCCTTGTTTCTTTACCGTGTTGGGTCTCAAATAAAAAGCTCTGTATGGCAAGTCATCTTCTAAGAACGTGATGTTATTGTGTTTGAAAAGAACAAGAGAAGAATGAGCAATTTTAATCTCGATTTGGCCTCATCTTTGCGGCTGTCTGAAAACTCCAAACCTCTGAAGTGTTAAGTAAATTAACCCACATCTTCATAGCCCCCATTGGTGAATGCAATGGTTTAAGAATACTCGCTCTTTGAAGACCAAACTGCTTTTGTCTGCAACACTCTATTTAAGGGAAAACTAATTCTGGAATCCTGTCCAACCTCATAGCATTCTGAATGATTTCTACTTCCACTCTAATTATCAGCCAGAAGTATTATTTGTAATCATCAGCTTTCAATAATTTAAATAGGTAGTTGTTTGGCCAACTGTTTTTATTCAAAATGCCACAAAAGCTAAAATTCTATGTTGAATTTTATCCAGATGCTGTCTTCTTTTAGGACATGCCAGCTGAGACAGAGCAGTTGTTCATTTTTTTAAAATACCATGTCAGAAGCACATTTTTACTTCATGAATTCAACTGCAATCTAAAACGAAGACTACAGATTTATGTCTCAGTTCAGTTCAGTTGCTTGCCAAAACCAGAGGGAGGACATTTTTTTAAGAATTAATTTAATGGCCAGGCGCAGTGGCTCACACCTGTAATCCCAGTGCTTTGGGAAGCCAAGGCAGGAAAATCGCTTGAGCCCTGGAGTTCCAGACTAGCCTGGGAAACCTAGTAAGACACTCATCCCCCCTCCCCAGAAAAAGTCAAACTTGGTGGTGCATGTGCCTGTAGTCCCAGCTACTCGGGAGGCTGAGATGGGTGGATCATTTGAGCCCAGGAGTTCAAGGTTACAGTGAGCTGTGATGGTGCCACTGCACTCCAGCCTGGGCAACAGAGAGAGACCCTGTCTCAAGAAAAGAAAAGAAAAATAATTAACTCAGCATGCTAAATCACCAAACATAACCACACCCAAGCTATTTTATTCCTCAGAGACTATGGAGATGAGCTTTTCATTGTCTTTTTGAATTCTAGCAAGAACAGTTTTGGTGGTTCCTTTTTTTTTTAATCAATGAAAACAAAGCCCACTGTAAATAAATGTTTTCATGTATCACTACTTAATACTTCTATAAGGGTCCTAAATGCCTTTTGTCTACGTTTTCTTTAACACTCTTCTATACAAAGTAGATCAACCTCTTAATGTCAAAAAGAACTGAATCAGACAAAATCCAGATTTCTTAACAAATTTCTATTGTCTCAAACTTTTTTTAGTTCAATAATATTTTCCTTCTGGACAGCGAAGGAAATCCCTCTGAAATGTTCCAGAGCTGTACAATTGCAAAATTGAAAAGTTAGGTTAAAGGTTCTTCTGTGAAATTTGCTAGAGTTTGCAAGTCCCTGATTTTTTCACTGAACAATTTCAGGGAAGGTTTGTGTCTCCCTTTGTCTGGGTCTTTGTTCAAAAAGTGGCTAATTGCTATTAGCAAATGCAAATAAAAGACAGTTGCTTCAGTGCAGCTTGATTGCCAGTTCCCAGTAGGTTCCCTCCCGTTTCTAACTGTGGCTTTTCCAAGTTTTCATCCATCTCTGCAAGTCCTCCCCCTCCCCCACTCCTGACTCCCTACATTCACTGTCAGCAGATGCCCTTGTCTCTTACCTCACGGAGGAAGCAGGATCTATTTACAATAACTCCTTCAAGTTCCTTCTATTCAGTAAGCATACTTAACTTTGCAATCTTGCCCTTACCTCCTTTCTCAGGAGTGGGTGGGGTAGAGCAAAAAGACTCCTCTTTTATTTTTTTCTCTTATTTTCTGAGACCAGTCTCTCCACCTCGCTCCCATTTCCTCAGAGCCCTTGCTGCATCCTTGTCTCTTCTCTCTCATGTATCTTTCATCTCCCATTGGTCCCTGGCTTAATCCCCTCGACATATAAACATGACTCAGTTTCTCCCAGGGTATTGATTTAAGTTCTGAGAGTCCAAATAACAGCCCCCAGTTCCCTCCAGAATACAGAGGCCACAAATGGCCCCTTGAACAGAAGCTGTGATGATTTTGGTCATGTGGTCCTGCTACCCTGGCCTCATTGGATTGGATTATGGATACGGGTGGCAGCCGAAGCAGCTCAGATATGACAGCCAAAACTACATTAATGCCTGAGTTCTGTTTGGGTTCCTGTTTGCAAGCAATAGAAAATAATTCTGGCAAATTTAACCTCAACGCGGGATTCCCTAGAAGGATATCTGTGTCTCACATATCTACAGGAGCTTGGAGGACCTTGCTTTGAAAAGAGACAGAAACCGAAGTGCTTTGGGGCTGTGCATGGGAGCACAGCAAACGTTACATCTGAGGAGCAACAGGTTCAGCTTACGGCCTCTGCTGCTTCTTCTTCAATGGGGTGGCCCAGAGCTGTCTCTACACTTGTCTGATAGGAAGAGGCCAAGTGACATGTGTGTTCCATAGCTGGGCTGGGCAGGAAGAGAGAGCGTTGGCCCATTGGCTACTGTGTGGAATGTGGATTCCATTTCTACATCTACGTAGTTGGAGATTCCTCCAAAAGGAAATTGGAATGTCAACAGGAGTTGGGTGCTGGATAGCCCAAACCAATGAATGGTGGCTACAGATGGTTACTCTAACACAATGAGGCGCTCTGTTGGAGAGCATGAATGTGAGACACAGAGAGAGAGGAGTAGAAAGCAGGAGGAACAGAGACGCAATAGCAGAGAGAAGCAAAGATGAAATAGATTAAAAGAGCAGCTGGGAGATAGGGAAGTCATGTCATGAAAATGGTAGAGTCATGTGAGTAGAAAGGACAGATGGATATCCACTCTGAGGAACGGTGAGACAATGGGTGACCATAGGTACTGGGTTGCTTGTGACACTGGAGCTGGCACAATTTTGGAGGAGAATGTAGTATTACCTAGTTCACAGGCTCTTGAGTCAGAGAATCATGGGTGTCCCTGGGATTCAAATCCCAGCTTCATCACTCACCTGTCCTGTGACTTCATTTCTTAACCACTGCATGCCCCAGTTTCTTCATCTGTGAAAACTGTAATTACGACACATGGTTGGTGTAAGAAAGGAAAATGCATATAAGTGCTGAGCATAATTCCTGACATATTAAATGTTAGCTGTTATTATTGCAATTGTTATTTTATGTCTCCCAAAGTTTTGCAAATCCTATTCTAGTCCTTTATCTTCATAAAATATTTCAATTCATCTTCTATTTTTAAATTACATTAATTTTTTAACTTTCATTTTAGGTTCAGGGGTATGTGTGCATGTTTGTTCTATAGGCAAATTGCGTGTCACAGGGGTTTGGTGTACAGATTATTTCCTCATCCAGGTAATAAACATAGTACCTGATAGGTGGTTTTCTAATCCTTACCCTTCTACTACATTCCACCCTCAAGTAGGCCCCAGTGTCTATAGTTCTTTTTTTTGTGCTCATGTGTGTTGAATGTTTAGCTCCCACTTATAAGTAAGAACATGTGGTATTTGGTTTTCTGTTTCTCTGTTAGTTTTCTTTTCTTTTATTTATTTATTTATTTATTTTTGAGATGGAGTCTCGCTCTGTTGCCCAGGCTGGAGTGCAGTGGTGCAATCTTGACTCACTGCAAACTCTGCCTCCCGGGTTCATGCCATTCTCCTGCCTCAGCCTCCCGAGTAGCTGGGACTACAGGCGCCGGCCACCACACCTGGCTAATTTTTTTGTATTTTTCTTAGTAGAGATGGGGTTTCACCATGTTGGCCAGGATGGTCTTGATCTCCCGACCTCGTGATCCACCCATTTCGGCCTCCCAAAGTGCTGGGATTACAGGCGTGAGCCATGGATAATGGCCTCTAGCTCCATCCATGTTGCTGCAAATGACATGATTTCATTCTTTTTTATAGCTGTGTAGTATTCCATGGTGTATATGTACCATATTTTCTTTATTCTATTGTTGATGGGCATTTAGGTTGATTCCATGTGTTTGCTATTGTGAATAGTGCTGCAATGAACACCTCTGCATGTGTCTTCATGGTAGAATGATTTATATTCCTTTGGGTATATACCCAGTAATGGGATTGCTGGATCAAATGATAGTTCTGTTTCAAGTTCTTTGAGAAATCACCTAACTGCTTTCCACAATGGCTGAAATAATTTACATTTCCACCAGCAGTGTATATCTGTGCCCTTTTCTCCACAACTTCACCAGCATCTGCTATTTTTCAAATTTTTAATAATAGCCATTCTGACTGGTGTGAGATGGTATCTCACTGTGGTTTTTATTTGCATTTCTCTAACGATGAGTGATGTTGAGCATTTTTTCATATGCTTGTTGGCCACATGTATATCTTCTTTTGAAAAGTGTCTGTTCATGTCCTTTGCCCACTTTTTAATGGGGTCATTTGTTTTTTGCTTGTTTATTTGTTTAAGTTCCTTATAAATTCTGGATATTAGACCTTTGTCAGATACATAGTTTGCAAATAATTTCTCCCATTCTGTAGGTTGTCTCTTTACTCTGTTGATAGCTTCTTTTGCTCTGCCATTAGGTTCCATTTGCCAATTTTAGTTTAGTTAGATCCTATGTGTCAATTTTTGTTTTTGTTGCAATTGCTTTTGGCATCTTTGTCATGAAATCTTTGCAGGGCCTATGTTCAGAATGGTATTTCCTAGGTTTTCTTCCAGGGTTTTTATAGTTTTAGGTTTTCCATTTAAGTTTTTAATTCATCTTAAGCTTATTTTTGTATATGGTATAAGGAAGGGGTCCAGTTTCAATCTTCTGCATATGGCTAGCCAGTAATGCCCAAACCATTTATTGAACAGGGTGTCCTTTCCCCATTGCTTGTTTTTGTTGACTTTGTTGAAGATCAGATGGTCATAGGTATGTGGCTTTATTTCTGGGCTCTCTATTCTGTTCCATTGGTCCTTGTGTCTGCTTTTGTAAGAGTACCTTGCTGTTTTGGTTACTGTGGCCTTGTAGCATAGTTTTAAGTCAGGTAATGCGATCCCTCCAGCTTTGTTCTTTTTATTAGGATTGCTTAGGCTATTTGGGCTCTTTTTTGATTCTATATAAATTTTATAATAGTTTTTTTCCAATTCTGTGAACAATGTGATTGATAGTTTGGTAGGAATCTCATTGAATATGTAAATTGCTTTGAACAGTATGGCCATTTTCACAATGTTAATTCTTCCTATCCATAAGCATGGAATTTTTTTTATTTGTTTGTGTCATCTCTGTTTTCTTTGAGCAGTGTTTTGTAATTCTTGTTGTAGAGATCTTTCACCTTCCTGATTAACTGTATTCCTAAGTATTTTATTTTATTTATTTATTTTTTGTGGCTGTTGTGAATGAGATTACATTCTTGATTTGGCTTTCAGCTTGGATGTTGTTTGTGTGTAGAAATGCTACTGATTTTTGTACATCAATTCTGTATGCTGAAACCTTGCTGAAGATGTTCATCAGATGATCTAGGAGCTTTTGGGCAGAGACTATGGGGTTTTCTAGGTGTAAAATCATATAGTCTGCAAAGAGAGAGAGTTTGATTTCCTCTCTTCCTATATGAATACCTTTTATTTCTTTCTCTTGCCTGGTTGCTCGGGTTAGGATTTCCAGTACTGTCCAATTCATCTTTTAAAATCTAGCGTAGATGTTACCTCCTCTGAAAATCCATCCATGAGTCTTCCCTGTGTCTTAGGCAGAAGCAACAATGCAGTTCATTCTCTATTCAGGTCAACACTTATTGAGTGATTACTATATGCAAGGCATAGTATTTTCTAGATGCTGGAGATATAAAAAAATGTCACAGACATGGTTTGGTTCCTCAAAAGCCTATAATTTAAAGGGAGAAACAGAGACACCATAATTTTAATATCTTGAAGTAAATATCACGTATGGTGGAGCTATGCCAGAGCAGCACCTTGTTTTGTATTTTCTTCCACCTAAATCATGCCTCTACTTCAGCAACTATGTCATCATTGTTTAGTTGCTTGCACATCTACCTCTCTTAGCATGAAGTATACTTTCTGAGTTTAAGAATATGTCTTTTTCATCTTTTCATGTCCAGGACATATGAGGCACTCAATATCTGTTGAATAAAGCATGATTTCATTATATTTTCATTGAAAAACTTAATTATTAATTTTCAGAAGTGTCATCCCTAGTAGGTTACTATTATTTAAGAGAAAAAGTTATGTTTTATAATTCTACAGGTTATTTCCTTACCCCAAATTAAGGTTTGGTCACTGCCCAATAGTGTCACTTTTAATCTGGTTCAATTTTTTTTTAATTTTTAATTTTAATTTTTGTGGGTACATAGTAGGTGTATATATTTACAGGGTACATGAGGTGTTTTGATATAGGCATGCAATATGTAATAATCACATCATGGAAAAAGGGATATCCATCTCCTCAAGCATTTATCCTTTGTGTTACAACAATCAGTTATACTTTTAGTTATTTTAAAATGTACAATTAAATCATTACTGACTATAGTCACCCTGTTGTTGTGCTATCAAATACTGGGTCTTATTCTTTTTTTTTTTTTTTTTTACTATTTTTTTTATACCCATTACCCATTCCCATCCCCCTCTTCCCCACTTACCCTTCCCAGGCTTTGGTTGCCATCCTTCTACTCTCTATCTCTACAAGTTCAATTGTTTTGATTTTTAGATCCCACAAAGAAGTGAGAAGATGTGATGTTTGTCTTTCTGTGTCTGGCTTCTTTCGCTTAACGTAATGATCTCCAGTTCCATCCATGTTGTTGCAAATGACAGCATCTCATTTTTTAATGGCTGAGTATTATATAAGTACTACATTTTCTTTATCCATTCAAGGGTTTATCCTACCTCTTCGGTGCTTCTTTCAGTGATATGATGTTAAAACTAGGTACTATAAGTGCTTATCTGAGGTTTGGTTCTTATAAAGGTACATTTTTTGTGTGTAGATAGTTGATAAGTTGGTGTCCTTGCTTGGGGAGGTGAGGCAATCGGTGAAGGCTTCTATTCTGCTATCTTGCTCTGTTCCTCCTGGTTGAGATTTTAATAAAAAGAGGGAAGTGGGTCTGGGGGATGCCAGGCCAAAGCCACTGGGTTGCTGCTATGAGGTCCCGAGGGAGTCCCACATAGTAAGATAAAGCACCACGTTTGGGGAAGGCTGAGCCATGATGGGGGCCACTAGGGCTGGAGGAGCGAGTAGTGACAGAGATGGAGCTGGCAGATACATGATGGGTGGCAGAGTCTAAGGAGGAACAGAGGAGGGAGGGAGGATGCTGTGAGGCATCCACCATGTGTGATAGGGAAGAGAGGTTGTGTGCCTGGAGCAGAACAAAGAAGAGCTGAGGCCATATAGGCAATGGCAGTAGAGGAGATGGCTGGGGCGGGGGGGTGGGGGGCATTCAATTATTGATTTGAGGTGATGTGAAACATTGGCAGGCATAACAAATGCTCAGGGGAGGGTGAATGAACTATTTAACTGTAAAAAAGAGGGATAAATGGGAGGGTCAGTATAGTGGTTCGTGGCTGTCAGGTAGACATCCTCCCAGCTCCAAGTAAGCCAGTGTGAGTGGGGTAGAGAGGAGAAGAGGACCCCACAAGTAAGGTCCAATCCAGATTGTGATGTCCTTCTGTTACCTGAGTGTTATGTTATACAACTCTGTACCAGAAATGCGTGTGGCTCACACAGTATGATCATTCACTCATAATGTTAACATGTAATTTTCTCTGCTTTTGACCTGTTGGGTGAGTTTTGTCAACATTAATTTCATTGGTCTCTGTGTCTTCTTTTATGGTTTATGACTATGGTTTGTGTTGATTGATGGCCAGACATTGTTTGAAAAATATAATAAAGCATTATGGAAATGCTGAGTAACTAGATTATTTTTGCTTATATGACTCAGAATTGGCAACTTTACAATTTATGTTTTATCTCCTGTGGCTGATTACCTTGATTGATCAAGGCAAATGGAAATGGAGCCCACTTTGGGTGGCGTGGAGCATGGAGCCAGTGGACATTGGCAAAGTAGAGATGACAACCTTTCAGAGCTGGAAAGGATGTTGTCCAATTTCTTCATTTTGCAATGTAGGAACTGAACTTGGAGATGTCAAGTGACTTGCCAAGGTCATACTGTAGTAGGAGAACTAGGAGGCCATTTTTCGTTTTTTCCGTTGAGGATAGAATCTTTAATATTTGTTAGTGACAGTCGGAAAAAACCACTATTTTCACTGTAAATATTTCACATATTTACATTTAATCACTGATTAAGTGTAAAATAAATTTAAAAATATTTAAATCAGGTTTCATTTACCTGTGTTTCATGTATAATCTCCATTCTCATAGGTCTAGGGGTCTATTTTGAGAATCAGTGGAGAATTTGAAGAAGATAGGGAAATGATCAGATTTATACTTTAGGAAGTTAATCATCTAGTGGATGCATTCCTCATTATTGTGAATGAGTAAATAGAAAATTATATATACTTTAAAATATTTCTTAGTGCATTACTATTAACTCAAAGCTAGTCTTAGTGGCATAATTTTTTATGCGTACAAGAAACATACTACTCTTGTTACTAATTATTTGCAGATACTGCCATTTGTTTTTCCTTGGGTTGACTTAGTTCAGATAGTTGAAACTTTTTATTGAGTGGTTTATAATAGTGATGTACAGTTGGGGTTATTCACACTTGGTGGTCTTTTAGAGCCCAGTGTGATGCAGAATAAGACATCTGTCATTTTGTAGTTGTCTCAGTTCTTTTAGGTTGCTATACAAACTGCATTAGACTGGTGGCTCATAAACAACAGAAATGTATTTCTCACAGTTCTGGAGGCTGGGAAGTCCAAGGTCAAGGCACTGGCAGATTTAGTGTCTAGTGAGAGTCTGCTTCCTCGTTCGTAGATGACTGTCTTCGTGCTGTATTCCCATGGTGAAAAGGGTAAGGGGTCTCTCTGGGTCCCTTTAATAAGGGCGCTGTTAAAATAAATTAAAACAGAAAGCCAGGCCTGCAGAACCCCTGAGCAGACAAAGCCAGTTAGCCTTCGTAACTGACCTTAACCCGGCTTGATTTGCAAATATAGCCAAAAGTTAACTTGAGCTATTTCTTATAAATGCCTATATTAAACAGAAATGAAACTTAAGGCTAACCAATCAGAAGCTGCCAACTAAATTATAGTTATATAACTATATAACTAGGGACTTTCCAACAAGATAGACAAAATAGTAAGGCAACTGTATAACTATAACCAAATTGTTTTACATCTGTATTCACTCTCTAAAAGTCTGTCTTTAATGCTTCTCCAAAGAAGCCCCCAAACCACTCATGGTTTGGAGCTCCTGATTCACAAATCAGTTTGCTCAAATAAACTCTTTAAAATTTTATTGTGCCTCTGCAGAATACCTGGTGTTCAGCACTATACCTCAGTACCTTTTAATGGCACTAATATCATTTACAAAGACTATCTCTCATGACCTAATCACCCTCTAAAGGCCCCATCTCCAAATACCGTCACACTGGAGATTAGGTTTCAACATGTAAAGTTTGGGGACACACAAGCATCAGTCCATAAAAGGAGTCATCAATGGAGGCCCCCTAGAAATCCACTTCAGACTTGCTGTGGAACATACCCTATATCCATATATTCTTTGATTCACTGCTATAGAATGAAGCATTGCTGTCGCTCATTAAAATGATTTTTTTTTAAATTTTTGTGGGTACATAGTAGGTATATTATATTTATGGGGTACATGAGATATTTTGATACAGAGACATAAAATGCATAATAATCACATCAGAGTAAATGGGGTATCCATCACCTCAAGAATTTATCATTTCTTCATGTTACAAGCAATCCATTACTTTTAGTTATTTTTAAATGTACAATAAATTATTGTTGACTGTAGTCAACAACACCCCACAGAACCCCACAGAATGGGGTTCTTGTAAAGTATTGACAAGAGATTAATGGATAGTTTGCAAATATTTTCTCCCATTCTGTGGGTTGTCTCTTCACTTTGTTGATTGTTTTCTTTGCAGTGTAGAGGTTTTTAAACTTCATGTGATTTCATTTGTCCATTTTTGCTTTGGTTGCTTGTGCTTGTGGGATATTACTCAAGAAATCTTTGCCCAGACCAATGTCCTGGAGAGTTTCTCAATAGTTTTCTTTTAGTAGTTTCATAGTTTGAAGTCTTATATTTAAGTCTTTAATCCGTTTTGATTTTATTTTTGTGTATGGCAAGACATATGGGTCTAGTTTCATTCTTCTGCATATGGATATCCAGTTTTCCAAGTACCACTTATTGAAGAGATTGTCCTTTCCCCAATATATACATTCTTGGCACCTCTGTCAAAAACTAGTTCACTGTAGATGTATAGATTTATTTATGGATTCTCTATTCTGTTTCATTAGTCTATGTGTCTGTTTTTATGCCAGTATCATGATGTATTGATTACTATAGCTCTGTAGTGTAATTTGTGAAGTCAGGTAATGTGATTCCTTTCATTTTGTTGTTTTTTCTCAGGATAGCTTTGGTTATTCTGGGTCTTTTGTGGTTCTATGTAAATGGTTAGGATTTTTTTTTTCTGTTTCTGTGAAGAATGTCATCGATATTCTGATGGAGATGACATTCAATCTGTAGATTGCTTTGGGTGGTATAAACATTTTAACAATATTAATTCTTCCAATCCATGAATATGGAATAGCTTTCCATTTTTTTGTATCCTCTTCAGTTTTTTGCATCAGTGTTCGCTATTTCTCATTTTATTTTATAATCTGGGATATTAGTTCATTTATTAAGTGCACACGTATGTATCTGTGTGTTTACTGCTCTGCGGAAATACAAACTAGTATAAAACATACAAACTAGTATAAAACATGATCCTCTAGTTAGGGAGAATAGGCATAAATATATGAAAAGTTGAATATTTTACCAAGATGAGGCCTCACAAAATATTATATATATCTCAATTATCTTTTCAAGTAATAGCTTTCACTTTTTGAATTATCTTATCCACATAACTTACTTTTTAATTTCTGCAAGGGAAGGTTTTTACTTACGAGAAAAAACAAAGCTCGGAGAGATGAACTTGCCCAATGTCAAATAGAAAGTGAAGAAAGTGCACAAATTGAAACTGGGGCTGTCTGTATTCACAGACCTTATCATTTCTCATAAAGCCAGTATGATGGAGATTTACCAATTTCTTTTTTGCCATCCAGGTATCAGAACCCACTCTCTATGTTTGGGAAATGCTCTCCCTCTGATGCCATCCAGCTACTCACCTCTCCAGGGTTCTTGCTGTTAAGGCATGGGGCTGGGCTCTGCCAATCAGATCCATCTTCTCTCGAGACTATGAGAAACTGGGACACAAGGAAGCACACACCACCCAGAATATATTTGGACAACATTTGGGGGTGGAGGCGGCAACCATATTTGGTTCTCAAAGGCAGCAGTGGCAGTAGAGTTCCTGCAGCAGCACCCAGGGTCTGGTCACTGGCTGCTGGAAGGTGCTGTGCTGTCTGGGTCCAGCAGGAGTTCCAATGTCTTTACCTGATAAGTCTTGTGGTTTGACTGTGGGAATTGTTTCCAGCTGTAAAATCCATAAGTTTGCTTCTCTAGCCCTCCCAGAGAATATATGGGCTATCCAACATCTTTTAAATAGTTTCTGTTTCTGCTTTAATTAACCAGGGTCAGTTTCTATTATTTGCATCTAAAAGTCCTGACTGTGACTGAAAATTGTGCCAGAAGTTGTAGGCAACAGTTATTCAGGAAAACAGGAGGGAAACTGTACTTTATTCTCTGTCTTGGTAGGGTTTAAGGGGAATTGGAAATCAGGTTGATATTAAGAAACTGAACCTGAGCATCCATCGAAATTTGTGAAGAAAAAACAAAACAAAACAAAACAGTTAATCAAATGATCACTTGTGTCCACTCGGGTGATAGCCCCCTTGAATGCTAGGTTTGGGAGGAAAAATGTATGCTGCAAGAGAGTGGTTGAAGGGTGTGGAGGAATTCAAGGATTGTAGAGTTAAGCAATGGACACTTCAATGGCAGAAAATGACAAACTGAAAGTCTTCAACTCTCAGCTCAAGCCACCCACTGAAAACTAGTCTCTTTCTAAGATAGTGCTGAATTGGAACCCACACTCAAAGATTTATCCTCCAAGTTGCTTCTTTACATCAATGTATAACCTTTTCTAGCCTCTTAGATCAAAGTTGGGGCTCTGACATAGGGTATTAAGTAGGTGCCAACACAGGGTGGAGACGTGAGAGAAGTTGGGTTGCTCAGTGTGTAAATCTTCCCATGCCAGTGCACTGTCCTCCCCTGCAACCAAGGTAGGCATGTCCCAGAGCCTATTTTAAAGTCAAACTCCCCAAATTTACAAAATTTTGCTGCTATGTTTGCAAAAATCTGGCTGATGCACGTGGCAATAAATTCTGAGGATGTTGACTAAAGTGGGAGGACTGTGATTGAGATCAAGTACGATATGTCAATATATGTACCTGCACCTCATCTATATACAATCTAGGTGCGGGTACCTAGATTGTGACTAGGTTGAACACAATATTCAACTGGGGTTGATTGTAGTTACTTATTGTGGTCAACTGATGAAACTTGGACTCAGCGGTGGCCTAGATATTTGTGTTATACTATAAAGGAAGAAATGAAACAGATGTAGGAAAGTGGGAGGGAATTTTTTTGTGTGCCATCAATTTCTTAATTCTTAACTCTGGCTCCAAGGCCTTGTTGATGCATGCATTGAGAAATTCATTGGTGAAGAGAATTCCAGCATTAAAAAAATCCCTATAGAGGATGTTCTTTGTGGATCTAGAATGCAGTGAGAGGAGACACAGCTGAAATGAGCTCTCTGATTTCACTGGGATACTAGGATCCCAGAGTAGCAGAAGCCCCATAGCAGCACTTAAACATTGGACGCAAATGGGTCTGGGCAGATGTGGAGAAGGTGGAGGGGGAGTCAGTGTGTCGTCAAAATGGTCTAACCCTAGAAATCTTTGACATTTGCTAATCAGTCATTGGTGTCCTAGAAATAAATTATATGTACAACCCAGCAAGAGAATATTTGATTTCTAAAATAATACTAACACCAACCAAAACTCAAAGACTCTAGGTATGGCCATCAGGGACCTAAATTCAAACCACATAAGAAAGTGTTGGCCTTTTACCAATTTCCAAACTTAAATTTTCAGATACTAAAAGGATGCCTAGGTACTCTTGAAAAAGAACTCTGTGTTCATATCACATAAGCATATTTCTTCCAGCCTTCTGCAAAGGGACCTTCAGCTATTGGGATGACTGTGCATTGGGAAAGAGAAATGTCTAGACCTTTTAGGGGTAATACAACAGTTGCTCAGAGTTAAACTAGAATTAAGCTAGTTCCTGGGAATACCATTCATTCATCTGTTCATTCATTTGAACAATTTTTATTGATTGCCTACTGTGTGTCAGACACTGGGGACTGGTAATATTTTAGTGAACCAACCAACCAAAATTTTCTGCCTTAGTGGAGTGAAAATTTTAGAGGAAGAAAAATTAACAGGTGAAATATATGGTGTGTCAGGTAGTGATTTAATGTCCTGGCAAAAATAAATTAGGGGTGGGGTGAGGAGTGAGGAATTCTTCATTTCTCATGGAGCCAATTGGGATTAGAATAGAGGGAAATAGGGCTGGGATTCTTGTGGTGCCCAGTGTAGACATAGATTGAATAAATAATGTAGTAATACACAACACCAAATACATAAAGTAGTAAATGGAAAACAATTTTACTTGGCTGAAGGAACCAAAAATTTACCAGTAGGGACTTAAAAGATGCAAGGGTCGGCCAGGCGTGGTAGCTCACACCTGTAATCCCAGCACTTTGGGAGGCCGAGGCGGGCGGATCACGAGGTCAGGAGATCGAGACCATCCTGGCTAACACGGTGAAACCCTGTCTCTACTAAAAATACAAAAAATTAGCCAGGTGTGGTGGCGGGCGCCTGTAGTCCCAGCTACTCAGGAGGTTAGGCAGGAGAATGGTGTGAACACAGGAGACGGAGCTTGCAGTGAGCCAAGATCGTGCCACTGCACTCCAGCCTGGGCGACAGAGCGAGACTCCATCTCAAGAAACAAACAAACAAAAAAACAAAAACAAAAACAAAAGATGCAACGGTCTCCATTTAACTTCCCCATATGACTGATGCAGGAGGCAGATGCGTGTCAGAGAAAGAAGTATTTGTACTTCTAATATAGAAGCTTAAATCCTAATATAGGATTTAAACTAAGCATGCATTGTAGAGAAACTAGCTCATCATGGATGATCCGTAAATACTGCATTATATCCTTGAGTCCTCATCCCCATTGACACCATCAACCTTTGCACTGCTGATCTTGTTATTAATTTTAAAGCACTTAGCTGCTCAGCAGGTCTCCATGGAGTGGTGCTAGAGAGTCAAGTACTATTCAGTATCTGAATATTATCAGCTGTGAGCTTGATTGATGGTTATATTGTTTGTTTCATGAATGGCTTCCCTTTCTGCTTAGTTTTATCATCATTAATCAGTGGGGTAGCCTGCTGGGTGTTGGAATCTAAACCAAAATTAAAATCTGTTTATTCAGGATGGTTTCAGTGAATCATAGTACAGCAAGAGAAGAATGGTGCAAAGGCTTATCTTTCAGTACATTTGTTTCAGAAACCATTAGTTCAGTTATACGGAGTGTGTTCACTTTTAGCCTTGAGCTGGGTAACTTTGGATTTGATCCAGAGCATTAAAGTACAAAGAGAAAATTTCCTCCTATTTAATGCAGTACTTTGTTAATAACATGAAGAAAAATGATGTCAGTTCTCTTTTCTGGAATATATAGCCTGAATTATCCACATTAATTCTCTTTTATTTTTGTTGTAAAAAGTTTTTTCCTCTATTATAAAATAAACATATTTATTATAGATAATCTAGAAAATTCAGAAAAGTGAAAAGTAAATGTGTTAGTTTTCTATTGATGCATGACCAATCACCACATACTTAGTAGCTTAAAACAATATACATTTATTATCTCACAGCTTCTGTGGGTCAGGAATCTTGTCTTGGCTTAGTTGGGTCCCCTGCTCAGAGTTTCACAAGGCTGTGTTCAAGGTGTCGGCCAGGGCTATGGTCTGGTTGGAGGCTTGGGGTCCCATTCCAAGCTAAGGTTGTGGTGACAGAATTCATTTTCTGCAGCTGTAGAACTCATGGTGGCTTGTTTCTGCAAGGTCACAGAAATCTTTCCTTTCAGGGAAGGTCTAGGCCCCTGTCAAAGGACATACATGTGTAGGTCAGACCCACTCTGGAGTAATCTTATTGACGAACTCAAAGTCAATTGTAGGTACTTTGATTACCTCTGTGAAATCCCTTCACTTTTGCCATATAACAAAATAAAATCACAGGAACAATATTCCATCATATTCACAGGACCAGCCAACACTCGGGGAGGAGGGAATGATATATAGTTTTGGGTCCTTAGAATTCTGTCAATCACAGGAAAGATATTCAAATGAGGTATAGTAACAACAACCTCAAAATTTTAAGGTTTTTTTTCTATATTTTCTCCTACACAGAGTGTTCTTAACGTAGTTGGTGTTACATTACATATTGCATGACATTTGTTCTTTTATTTTTATTATGGAAAATTTCAAGTGTACACAAAAGTAGAAAGAAGACTGGAGTAAGCTCCTCTGAATCCACCACCTGGCTTCAAAAATAATAATCATTCTGTTCTTGGCACAAGTGTGATGATTTTTAAAACCGTGTCAGAAAATATCACTCCCCTGTTCAAACCTGACGTAATTTTCATTGTCTTTTGGAATAAAAGCAGGAAAACAGTGCTTTACTTAATTAGTCCCCATTGTTGAAATAATAATGTTATAGTACATATTTTTGCTTACAAACCTTATCCATCTGAAGTATTATTTTCATAGGCTAAAATTCCAGAAGTGGAATGATTAGGCCACAAATATAAACATTTAAAATATTTTTGATGCATATATCAACTGGGGTTCAGTGAGAGAACAAAGCCATGGAGAATAATAGAAAAATACTTATTATAAGATATTAAAAGCCTTACAGAATCCGGGGAGAAAGTCTAGATTGAACTTCCAGGAATAATTCTCTATGCTTTCCTCTGAATTGGGCCAGCAAGGGTACTGATGCCTCTTTTATGAATGGTCAGGAAACCACCTGCTGAATTGAAAAGTGACCACCAGCACTGCAGGATCCAGAACCACACCATGCTGGCTGAAACTCATGCCAGCAAATGGATGCCTCAGATCTGACCTATGTAAAGACAGTGAAGGGACACTGTAGTTCTCTTAACTCTGTCATCATAAACCCAAATGCCTCTACATCTATGGTTGCCAAAAGAAATGCCAAGCAGCCAAAAAGGCCTCTGCCTCATGTCTGCTTCTCAAATCTCACCAAGAGGCATTGACTTGTACCAACACAAACCATGTCAGAATTGCAGCGACCAGGGCATCTGGAAAATGGAGTTTCAGCTTTCTGGCTTTTGCAGTTTAGCAAGTTAGGAAACTATTTTAGTCTAATTATTTTAGAATAAGAGAAATGGCTGTTGAGTAACAATCCAACACACCCATGGCAATACCTTCTAAAGTATGTCAATTGCTTCTAAAGATGTTATGACAGGTTGTGGTCCCATCAGGAAGGGATCTGATATTGGAATGTACCCATTTCACAAGACTACAACCTATGGTTGGGTTTAGTTCCTTAAAAACCTTTGCAGGAGATATATTTTTGATAGACCATCATAGGACCATACTGCTTTTGAGATTGATTATCCGTGAGGTTGACCACTTTCCCAAATATTTGATAAGTGATGTTTTATTTTTTGAAGTAACTAGCCATCTCTTTCCCATGAATATATTAGGTCCTTAGTTTTTTTCCTACTGAATTTACACATGTGTATATTTTTTATTGTGATAAAATATAAACATAAACCATAAAATTTACCATTTTGACCATTTTCAAGTGCACAGTTCTGGGCATTAAGTATCTTCACATTGTTGTGCAGCTCTATCTGTATCTGTTTTAAAATAATTAACTTTATTGAATTTGCTGCAAATGTTTTTTCAAGTTTCTCATTTAATTGTTTGACATAGTGTTCAAAAGATTTTATATCAAGTTTTCCAATACTTCAGATTTCTTCTTTTTTCAAAAAAAGGCTTGGACTTAAAATTTAAATCTTTTAACTTTGAAGGTTTAAATCTATGATATGGTCAAGGTTTTGTTTGTTTATATATATATATATTTTTCAGCAAATATGAATATCTTACATACTATAGCTTTATAATATATTGAAATATCTTATGACATTGATCTTTGTTTTTAGTTTTTATTTGGCCTGCTCATCTGTCCTGAAATAATAACAACGCTTCCAAGAGGTACTTACCAGTTCACTTAAGCTTTGTAAAAATTGCATGTGCTAATGTTCATTTGTAAATGTGTGAATCTTTATTTATTCCTATAATTTTTCATCCTGAATGTTTTCTTTTGCAGTTGGAATAAATTAGCAGACATGAAGAGAGTATAAATCCCCTCGACAAAAAAAAAAAAAGAGGCTTTTTTCTGTAGGTTTGCTATACAGGTCCTTGACACACTCAACAGGACTCTAAATTTCATTTTACGGCAATTGCTTTTAGAATGGGTGGTTATAAATGATTACTTTTTTCTTTTTACATTACTAGTGTTTTTAGTTTGTATATTTGGTATCATAGTTTTTCAAATCCAGCACATTTGGAATTTATAGGTTAGATAGGACAGGGCTGTTATTTGGAATCTCTGTGCAAAAATAGCATTGCCGACACTTTATTTAGGGAAAACCTAATCTGCCTAAGTAACTAAAAATTTATATTGTAACATCTCTTTTGTGATCATAAAAAACTCATGATTCAATGTGAATAGATAGTCTGGTGGGAAGGCAGAAAGCAGGTTGACATGAGCAAAGAATTTTATGACTTCTTAAGACATGACACTGGACAATTGATTAAAAAATTGTGTATGGGATGTTAAATTTTATAGATATGATCTCACATTTGAATGAGGAGATAATGCTAATGTTTATTTATTCAGTCCACATGCATTTATTATTGAATGCCTAGTGTGTGTTAGCATATGGGATAGCAAGGAAGGCACACTGTGGCTAGAAGACACTGAGTAAGAAGGCATTTGACTTAAGTCTGCTTGATTATTTCATTAAAAGTCACAAAATGGGCTGGGCGCGGTGGCTCATGTCTGTAATCCCAGCACTTTGGGAGGCCAAGGCGGATGGATCACTTGAGGTCAGGAATTTGAGACCAGCCTGGCCAGCATGATGAAGCCCCGTCTCTACTAAAAATACAAAAATTAGCCAGGCCTGGTGTCGTGCACCTGTAATCCCAGCTACTTGGGAGGCTGAGGCAGGAGAATCATTTGAACCTAGGAGGTGGAGGTTGCAGTGAGCCAAGATTGTGCCACTGCACTCCACCGTGGGTGACATGAGCAAAGCTCCATCTCAAAAAAACAAACAAAAAAAACAACAAAAAAGTACAAAATGGGAATTTAGTGGTGGTTTCATAAACATAAAATGTTATATTTTGTTTTAAATACTATTACTAAAGCATCAGCCAAAAAGATATCAGATTTTTAGAAGGCCATAGGAATTCATCATCCTGGACTGGGTTCTTCTTGTATGGTGGTACAACACCTGCTTTTTTTGTTTGTTTGTTTGTTTTTAATTTTCTGCTCTCTTTTTATCCCGTACATTCTAGTAGCTGGTGTGCACACTTTCTCTCTCTCTCTCTCTCTGTCTCTCTCTCTGTCTCACATACACATGCACTTTCTCATCCAATCCTCTCAATGTGTTTTCCTCCTCTCTACTGAGGCAAAAAGTATTCCGCCCACCGTGATTCAAGTTGTATATTAAGCAAACATAGTCCTGTCTTCTGTTACATTCCCAGTTCATGCCTTATTTCTTCAGGAGATTTTCATGATTTATGCTCAACAGTTTTGAGTTTATTCAGTTTCTTTAACTCCTATCTACATCATAATCTCATTGCATTCTTGAGATTATAAATATTTCTCTTGTGTCCATATTTGTCTATCTTATCTGTCCTATTGGATCATAAATCTAGAAGATATCCAATCGTTAACTCAGACAAGAAATAAATAGGTGCTAGAACCTTAGCACCTTTGGGTATTATATTTATAAAATATCAAAATAAATCATATTATTTTATTTAGGAATCTGTTATCTACAAGGAATAGAGGCACTTAAGCTCTCCTATGTGAGGATGTAATCAGGGATTTCATGGGAATCTGAGGGGAGCTAAAGTGTAGCTGAGAACTGGAGGCCTCTTGGGGTATGGCATGCTCTCTCTCTATGTCACTCTCTCTGCATCTTTCTCTCTTGAGACTTTCTGTTTCTCTTTGCTTGTGTCATTTATTATCTTCTCTATGTCTGTATACTAGGCTGTCTTTATATGAAATTAAATTTGGCAGTGAAGCCACAGGGCCTGGCTTTTGATCTTGTGCTCCTAAGCTGTATGACCCTGGATGAGTTTCTTAATTCTTTTGTGCCTCTGTGTTCTCATCAGTAAAATGGTGGTAGGTGGGGACCTGTTAATAACAGTAATTTCTTCACAGGGTCAATAAATTAAGAATGTGAAGCACATAGTTAGTACCATATAAATGGTAGCTCTTATTACTTACATGTTTGATTTTTATTTCCTCATAACTTCAGCTTCCCTGTGGACCATCATGGTTCTCCTGATACTTTCTACAAGATGGCGCCGACCCTGCTGCTACTCAGTCCCACATTCTTAGGAGAGGAATTTCTTTGGCACAGTTCATCTTTTTAAGCTGGGTCACGTGGGTGTTGGTTTCTGGAAGGCCAGTGGATTGGTTGCCCTTTAGGGAAGTGCCTTCCTTTGGTACAATCCTGCTTGTCAGGGGTGGGAGGTGAAATCACCATGTGGCTGCTGTCTCTCATCAGGTGTGGTCAGGCAGTTTCCCAGTTTCCTACAGATGCTGGGATGGGCAGTTGGTGCCAAAAAAAAAAACATGTATTGGCCAAAGATGTCAGAGAATATAATGTGTTTAAGAAACATTGATTTTTTTAAAAGTGAGTTTTCATACATGGAATTGCAATTTTCATTGACTTTAAAATCTCAAAGATATAATTCATGGATCTCTTCTTACTCTGACTATCATTGTGCCATTAAATCTAGCAAAGACATGGCTCTGCAGCATTATGGAAAGAGCACAAAGTTGCAATTGGGTGATTTGGGTGAGTTCTAATTCCTGCTGTCACCCACTGGTTAATCCTGGGTGATATATGAAAACTCACTGAGCATCACTTTC